>NC_000001.11:229820485-229972000 GCF_000001405.40 Homo sapiens | reverse complement strand
TGGGGTGTGTGTATGTTTGTGGGCTGTGTGTATGTACATGGTGGGGTGTGTGCGTGTATGCATATGTGGGGTTGTGAGGTGTGTGTATGCATGTGTGTGTGGTATATGTGTGCAGTGTGGGGGGAGTTAGCATGTATGAGTTATGTGTGGAGGGGGTGTGGCTGTATGTGTGTGAGGTGTGTGTGTATGCGTGTGTGTATGCGTGTGTGTGTGTGTGATTTGTATATTTGTGTGGGGGTCATGCGTGTGTTGTGTGTGGTATGGATGTAATGTGGGGGGCTGTGCATGCACATATGTGTGTCTGGTGTGTGTGTGTCCTAGGCCGACACAGAGCAGGGAGGGGCATTTTGTGGATGTCACTGAAGACACAGGAAGGGAGTCTGGGTTCTGGAGAAAGGGCCTCAGCATTTTATGAGCAAAAGTGTCTTGTCGTTTTCCCAGATCCTCAAGGTGGGAAATGCTGGCAGAAAGACCCAGGAGAGGAGGACGGGGAAAGCCGGTGCTGTTCCTGGAACGCCAGCCGGGAGCCAGGAGATGGCTTCTTCCCTCTAGACAAGAAAGAACTGGCGCGGGCCAGACCTAGGCAGCATTTGGGTGTGGGTGAAAGGCCTGGGCACCTGGGATTGGCCTCCGCTTGCACAGTGTGGGGGCTGCAGAACAGAATCAGGAAGATCCAGGGTGACGCCGGGAAGCAGGCAGGACTGCTCAGAAGGGCGGGAAGTCAGTGTGGGATTTAGACACTGGGGTACAGGGTGAGGTGCTCTGAATCAGGACCTGAACAGTCCCGCTGGCAAGGAGGCGAGTCCTTAGGGCTTTTACTAAGGCACCTGCAACACATCCGTGGAAGGAGAGAGAACCACCGAGACGTAGCACTCAGGGGACAGAGAAAACGGGCAATTGCCCTGGCTGGGAGCCTCCTCTCCTCCACTAGCCTGGCCAGACCCACCGTTAGATTCAGCCTCCTGATTTGGGGACCTCTAATCCAGACGCTTTGAGTGTGGTCTGTGGCCCCTGGAAGGACACTTTGTTGTTGATGAAGAGTGAATCACTGCATGAATGTTCTTCAAGTGGGTGCGGAGAGCTCACTCGGGGCTGTTTTGAAGAGTGTGGGAGGAAGAGAATGAAAGGCAAAGCTAGCGATTAGCACGCCTGGGAAAGGTATGCCAGAGCTCAGCCATTCTGCAATCAATCAATCTTTTTTTTTAAAAAAAGCCAACTTGATAGGAAGTGGAAATGACACAGAGTTCATGGTAAGAAGATCTCGGTTCATATTCAGGCCCCACTACCAGTTTGGTATGGGACGTTCAGCAAGTTCTTTAACCTCTCCGAACCACAGTTTTTTTCATTTGTACAGTGGAGATAAAGATCTGCCTCTCGTGGTGCTTTTAAAATTGTAGTAAAATACACATAACATAGAATTTACCATCCTAACCATTTTTAAGTGCACAATTCAGTAGTGTTAAGGACATTCTCAATGTTATGCGACCATCCATCCACAAAATTCTTTTTATCTTCCCAAACTGAAACCCTGTATCCATTCAGCAACATCTCCCCATCTCTCCCCTGCCCCAGCCCCTGGCAACCACTTCTTTCCGTCTCTAGAAATCGGACTCCTCTAGGAACCTCACCTAAATGAAATCGTACAGTATTTGCCCTTTTGTGACTGGCTTATTTCACTTAACGTAAGTGAAGTTTCATCCACGTTGGCCTGTGAGAGAACTTCCTCCTTTTTGAAAGTTAGATAATATTCGATTGTATGGACGATCCACCTTTTGTTTGTTCACTCATTTGTCCATGTACACTTGGGTTGCTTTTGCCTTTGGGTTATTGTGAATGATGCTATTATGAGCATGAGTGTGCAAATATCTCTTTGAGTCCCTGCTTTCAATTCTTTTGCGTGCATACCCAGAAGTAGAATGTCTGGATCATGTGGCGATTCTATTTTTAGTTTTTTAAGAAACTGCCATATTGTTTTAAGAGGATGCACCATCTATATTCCCACCAACAGCACACAAGGGTTCCAATTTCTCTACATCCTTACCAACACTAATTTTTGTTATTTTTTATTATTTTTTAAAATAGTACCTATTCTAATGAGTATGAGATAACATTATGGCTTTGATTTACATTGTCCTAATTATTAGTGATATTGAACATCTTTTTGTGTGCTTATTAACCATTTGTGTAACTTATTTGGAGAAATGTCAATTCAAGTCCTTTGCTCGTTTTTTAGTTGGATTATTTTTCTGTTGTTGTTGTGTTGTGGGAGTGTTTTGTATATTCTGGATATTAACCCCTTAACAGATATATGATTTGCAAATATTTTCTCCTATTCCATAGATTGTCTTTTTATTCTATTGATTGTGTGCTTTGATGCACAGAAGTTTTTAATTTGGTGTAGTCCAATTTATCTATTTTTACTATTGTTTCCTTTGGTTTGGTGTCGTATCCAAGAAATCATTGCCAGATCTCTTGAGGTATTTTTTTAAGATAAAATGAGATATGATATGTGTGAAATTCCTTGTAAATTATGAAGTAGTATAAAAATATTAGCTGTTATGTAAGTTCTTGAGTACGTGACATGCAGCCAAGCCCTGTAGGGATGCTTCAAAAATTACCAAAAACTTGTTAGTCAAGATGATAGATTGAAAACACACATATAATTTCATTCCCTCCATAAATCTGACTAAACAGACAATAGAGAGGTTTTTTTTTAAAAAAAAACAACAAGTTTATCTCTTTGTAACCTCCCTAAGGTATAATTTAAATTCAATCAAATGCACCCATTTTACAGACAAAGTTTGATGAGTTTTCATAAATTTGTATATTGATGTAACCACCATCACAATCAAGATATTACATAATTCCATTACCCAAGATGTCTCTTGACAGGCAATCCACTAACAACTCTGTTCCCGGGAAGCCACTAATCTGTGTTCTGTCATTATAGATTAGTTTTGTGCTTTCAATAATTTCATAAAAAAGGAAACATACAGTATAAAGTCTTTTGGCTCTAACTTTTGCTCAGTATAATATTTTGAGATTCACATAAGTTGTTGCATATATCAACAGTTTCTTCTTTTTTAATGCTGAACAGTATATCATACTATGGATAGATGACAATTTGTTTAATCCATTTACCTGTTGCTAGACACTTACATTGTCTCCAATTTTTTGGCTCTAAGAATAAGACTGCTATAAGCATTTATGTGCAAGTATTTATGTGAATATAAGTTTTCCTTCACCTAACTGGAATTGCTGGGTCATATGGTAAGTGTATGTATGACTTTCAAAGAAACAGCACAATTCTTTCCCAAACAGTTGTACCAGCAGTGAACAAGAATTCCAATTGCTTCACATCATCACTGACACTTGGTAAGTCTAGTCTCTTAAATTTCAGCCATTTTAGTGGGTGTGTAGTGATATATTATTGTGGTTTTAATTATCATTTCTCTGATGATTGATGACGTTGAACATTTTTCATGTGCTTATTTGCCACCTGTACATCCTCTTTTGTAAAATGTCTATTTATCTTTCGCCCATTGTTAAATTGGTTGTTTTGTTGTTTTGTCTTCTTCTTCTTATTATTACTTTTTGAGACAGAGTCTCACTCTGTCACCCAGGCTGGAGTGCAGTGGCACAATATTGGCTCACTGCAACCTCCAAGTCCCAGTTTCAGGTGATTCTCCTGCTTTAGTCTCCCGAGTAACTGGGACTGCAGACATGTGCCACCACACCTCGCTAATTTTGTATTTTGTATTCTGGTTTTTACTTTTTAAACTAAAATCATAGTATGATTATATCCATCATCATAATCAAAGTAATGAACATGTTTACCACCTTCCAATGTTTTCTCAGTCCAGATTTTAAGGCATCCTTCCTACTCTCTTTTGTGTTGATCCCAACACAATAATATTTGGATAAATATTTTCTTCAAGCTGATAAGTATTTTTTTCAGCTTGAAGAACTTCCTTTTACATTTGAACAGACCCTTTTACATTTCTTGTAGTGAGTCTGTTGGCAAAGAAATAGTGCAGATTTTGTTTATCATCTGAAAAATTTTGATTCCACCTGCACTTTTACAAGTTTTTTCTGAGAAGAGAATTCTATTTGACAATATTTTCCTTAATCACTCTACACATGTTTTCTCATTGTCTTCTGATTTGCACAATTTTTGACAAAAATGTCTGTAGTCATTCTTACCTTTATTGCTTAGTACATAATGTATCTTTTTTCTCTGGTTGGTTTTAACGTTTTCCCTTTATCACAGGTTTTCAGCCACTTGATTATGGTGTGTCTCTGTGTGGTTTTCTTTGTGTTTATCTTGCTTGAGTTTTCTTGCTCTTCTTGAATCTGTGGGCTTATAACTCATCAATTTGAAATTTTTTTGGCATTTTTTTCCGTTCCTTCCTACTCCTCTCTGAATGGGACTTGAATTACTTGTATGTTATACTAATTTTCCTATGTCACTGATAATTTGTTCATTGCTTTCAGTTTTTTTTTTCTCTGCATGTTTCATTGGGTGGTTTTCTATTGTTATTACTTCAAGTCCACTAATCTTTTCTTCTACCGTATCTAATCTTCTGTTAATTTTGGCAGTGAATTTTTTTATTTCAGACACTCTATTTTTCAACTCTAAAAATTCAATCTGGTTTTTACTTTTTAACATCTTTAATTTCTGTCTTCAATATGCTTATGGTTTTTCTAAACCTTCTTTTATGTATGTAAAACATATAAATAACAAAGTTTAGTCTTGCTATTTCCATCCTCTCTTTTATTTCTGGATATATCTCTATCGACTGATCATTTCCCCTGGTTTTGGATTGCACATTCCTGCTTCCTCACATGTCTAATTATTGTTATTGAATGCTGTGCCTATGAGTTTTATGCTTGTGTATAATATTCTTTTAAAGGTTTTGGACTTAGTTCTACCCTGTAGGTAAGAAAGTATTGGATCATTTTGAGTTTTATTTTTAAGTTTTTGTTTTTGAGTAGGTCTAGAAAATTTTTTATTCCAGGACTAGTTTAGTCCCACTACTAAAGAATTTTATTTTCAGAGTCTTGTGTCTTCTTAGGTCTCCCTCCTTATGGGAACTTAATGATGATTATTGCCTGTGTGATTCCTGTATGAGCTCTGGGAATTGTTCAGTTACAGCTTCCCAGAAATTATTTTTCTCCAAAAGTTGATTTGGCAGGGTGTAATGGGATTTAACCCTATTTATGTGCAGATTGATATTCTTAAAAACACTAAAAGGGATCCCCATGCTGATTCCTAGACTCTTTCTCTGTGTAGCTCCTGAACTCTCTAGTACTCAGTCCTAGAAATTCTAGTCTCCTTGGCCTCCCTAAACTAAGATCTCTGACTTTTCACCTTTGTGAAACTACTGGGCTCTGTTGAGTTTCCTTCTGTGCACTGAAGCCTATAAATTGTCTCCAGACAAAAAGTGGGGACACTCACAGGGCTCACTTTGTTTGTGTACCATGTTTTGAGGATCACAGCCCTATGCTGCCATTGCCAACATCTAAAAACAGTTGTTTCATATATTGTGTTCAGTTTCTAGCTATTTACAGATGGAGGGTAAATTAATTTTTCATGGTTTGTGTATTAGTTTGCTATTGCTTCTGTACAAATTACCACAAAGAGTGGAGCAAACACCAACAACCCAAATTTATTCTTACAGTTCTGTGGGTTAGAAGTTCAACGTGGGTCTTACTGGATTAACCTAAAGGTGTCAGCTGGGCTGCATTTGTTTCTGGAGGCTCTGAGTAGAATCCCTTTTCTTGTATTTTCCAGCTTTTAGAGGCTGCTCCCACCCTTTGTGGACTCCCTTTCTCCACCTTCAAAGCCAGCGATAGCAGGTTGATTCCTTCTGACATTGCACCACATTGGCCCCCTCTTCTGCCTCTCTCTTCCACTTTTTGGGCCCCTTGCAATTACACTGGGGCCACTTGGACAACCCGGGATAATCTCCCTATTTTAAGGGGAGCTGAGTAGCAAAGTTAATTCCATCTGCAACCATAGTTCCCTTTGCCATGTAACTTGTGAATTCACAGGTTCTAGGGACTGGGATATGCACATCTTTAGGGGGTCATTCTTCTGCCAATTATAGTTGGAAAGTAAGAGTCTGGAATTATAAATAAGCATAATTCTCTGAAAGGAGAGAGAGTACTGTAGAGAAGGCAATGGCAACAAAATTTTGGAAGCTGGAAGGATGATGGGTAAAGGGTTTGCTGATCTAGAAAAGGCTAATTCTTAAACCAATAATGGGAAAAGTTGAGAAAATAACCCAGCATAGATTAAAGTGTGAGAATTGATTCCAAGCACTCCTGGTAGTGTGGTTAACATGAGATGCTAATGTAAGGTATATTGGTTAAGCACCAATTAAGAAGCAATTAAAGTCCTACAAACCTTTTGCAACTTTTTGTTCAGTCACATACCTGCCCTCTTCAACGCTAGCAGAACGCTAAAGGTTTTTTTCCCCAATGAAGTGTCTTTCCTAATGAAATGACTCTGCCAGAACACCCTGGAGGGAAGGAGTGAACCCACTGAGGGTATGCTCACTATGTGCCCAAAGTTTCCAATCAGACTTGTAGTCCTTGTTCTTAAATGCAAGCACACAGCCAACGAGTACCAGATGCCCAAGGAAAACTTGTATTACAAGCCATGAATAAGTGTGAAACCAAGGAAACACATACCATATAACTTGAAAGAGACAGACTTCAGAGTGGGAAAAATCTTCAAAAAATTATCTTTAGTATCCTGAGAGATAGTAGAGAATATATTGAAACTGAAGTAAAAACAAGATTCGCAAAAAACTTTAAAAAATATAAATAAAGTAAAAGAAAGAGCACTCAGGAAACAAAAAGCTCTGAGAATTAAAACAACAAACCAAAGTAAATGGTAGCAGAAATTAAAAACTCAATAAAAAGACTGGAAGATCTACTTGTGGAAATATCATGGAAGATGGAGAAAAAGAGAGATGGAAATATACATTTTGGATTCAAAGGGGCCACCAAGTGCCCAGAAAAATGAATGAAAGTGAACACTCATCAAGGGGTATTTGTGTCACATTTCAAAACACTGGAGACAGAAGAACTTATACATTTCCAGGATGGGAGGAGATAACTTGGCCACATTCAAAACACTGGAAATTGGAAATCTCAATGAAAACACCAGGAGCTGTAAGACAGTAAAGCAGTGCTTTCAAAATTTGGAGGAAAATCATTTCCATGTATATTAGCCAAACTATCAACCAAGCACGAAGATTAAAATATATGTATTACATATACAAATAAATATATATTCCTTTATTGTTTGACTGACGAAGAATAAGGAGAATAGTGCAGCTATGGATTTGAGAGTTTTAGCATTGAACTTTCCTCAGAAACTACCAACATGTTGATTGGTTTGGGTTTCCAATTCTGCAGAATTTGCCTCTGTTCTATCTGCCTTCTCAGATGGAATGACTGTTGCAACAGAGTTTTCTTGTCTTGACCACAGAAATGAGCAAGGATGGCAGGAATCTGTGGCTGTGTGGCAGTCCAGAAGTGAGATGCTTTGGATTCTGGTAGCACGCTCAAATCACAGCACAGAGCTGCCACCTCTGTCCAGAGCAGGCCCTCAAATCTGCATGGCCCTGGGCATAGAACTGGAGGAAATGAGGCAGGATTTATCAGTCAGCCACCATGCTGCAGCCTACCTGAGACCTCTCCTTCCCTGTGTGCCCTGCCACCCTGGAGACAAAGATGCTTACATCCCTCTTTCTTAAAGCCTCTACTGTCAGAAGACTCTACGCAGTTCCATAATTATTTGAATTATTTGTTTAGCTGTCTGTCTCCATCTTTTTTTCCTACCCCAGAAGGTGAGATTTTTGAGGCTATGGATTGGATTACATCTTATCTCTTCCTGAATCCCCAACACCTTACACAGGCCCTGGTAACCAGGGCTAGCAATGAACAAACCATTCACCTGAAAGAATGGATCCTTTCTTTTGTTCATTCATTCAACTCCGTTATACAGTATTCTGAGTACTAGGGATAGTGGTAGACAAATCAGGCAATGTTATTAGACTTATATTCCAGTGGAAAGGAGAGACAACCCAAAATAAACAGCACAGGCACTAGGCAAATGCCCACATGGCCCTGGGATATTCTGACTTCATGGAAGAGCAAAGCACTATGTTCTTGTTACTTGTTCCAGAAAGTTCAGCCACAAACAATGATCGTCACTGTTGTCTGTCACTGAGTGAGTTAAGAATCTTTCAACAAGGAACCTGTATGTGTATAGTCCAGTACAAATAACATTTATTAGTACCTGCAAGCTAACTACTGAGTATGCAAAGATGCATATGAATTGGTCCTTACCTTAAGGGACTTGCTTTCTGTTTCTAAGAAACAGACATAAAAACACAACATTTTAATAAAATATGGAAAGTGCTGTCTACGTTAGCAATCAAAGTGCTGAGGGGCGCAAGAGGACATTTAGAGACTTTTTTGGTCTGCCCTTACCAGGATTACAGACAGGAAGACTGGATGTGCAATATGGCCATGACCCGGTATCATCTCATTCTACCCGACAAGGGCTGAGGCCCTGTGTACCCAGTAGTCTTTGTATTGGGCTGAGGCTGACAACAGAGACTGGGGAGCTGTTGGGCAAATGTCAGGACCCCAGCTCTCCTGCAAGCCTTTAGGGCTATCAGCGGTTCCAGAAATACTGACAGGAACCTGGGCAAAACTGTGACACGGTTTCAGTGTGTCTTCTGAAGAGCTCACCCACCTTTTGCTCTCTGCTTGGAGCTCTCCACCCACACCCAGCACCCTGCTCTCAGGTGCTCCTGTCCCACCACCCACTAAGGTAACTGATTTTACCAGCTTTTCGTATATCTGCCCACCTCTCTCCTTGTTTACACAACACATGGACATAGGCACATCTTAAGGGAGATGAACAGGGCAGGGTCCTGCTTGTGCAACTGATATGCTGTGCAAGCATGACCTGTGGGATATAGTCCAAGTGTATTCATTTTAGTATCCCACTGTCCCTTCCCAATATGTTCAGTGAGGGAATTTTGTCCCCTACCACTGTCTGGATGCAGACTCCAGCAGGCTGCAGGGCTGTGCTTGTCTCACATAGAAATAGAAAGTCTTAGTCATTTTTCATAGAAAAACTCAGCTTCTATTCAAAAATGAGAATATCCTATTTAATACATTTTCATTCAACATTCAGATTTCTACTCATTCCATTTATCACCCCCGCCTTCCCTCCAGCCTGTGGGTGGGATGTCTGTCCTCAGGAGGAGGGGGCGATGGCACTTCTTCTCATTCCTTCTCCATTCCTCCCTCCACTCCTAGCTGCTGCTACTGACCCTTCTAGGGTGGGAGTCAGGAGGGCAAAGTTCTTAACTTGGCTGGTGCTGTTGTGAGACAGCTATGTGTTCCCTTGCTCTGGCGGGTGTTGAAAGTGGCTTCTTTCCTGTGCATGTCTGTAGGTTCATCCGAGGCCTCCCTGCTGCCTTGGACTGTGAGCCCCATGGCCTCCGTCCCGGGCTGGCTGTTCCCAGTTCCCCCTCAGGTAAGTTTGCTAGCCATCCATCACACAGATTGTTTGCAACAAGGACCACTCAGTTCAGAAATACACTCTTGGACAGGTTTCCTGTTTTAAAAATTCCAGGCTGATATTCTCCTTGCAGGCTTCAAACCCAAGAAATCCCTGGGTTTCTTGTAGTACCCTTGTCTTTGTTATAGGGGAATGCAGTTACTTCCCAACTCAGGATCTCTCTTCTCAGTCTCTTTCTTTCTCTCTCTTTCTGTGTGTGTCTGTTTTTCTCTCCTATCTCCTTCAGGCAGATGGCCAAGGTCTCAAGTAGAGAGGCACTACTCACATAATATATTATGGGAATGGTGTTCCCTGTCCCTATGCGATGCAGCCAATCTGCTCAGGTGTCTGTTGGGCCAGTCCAATGTGCCTCTCTATCTCCATGGGCAGATATTCAGGCTCCCTGAGGGCTGTTGAAGCTGCCTTTCTTTAGGAGTGATGAAGACAAAGTGACACTTTCATGTCCTCCCCTTGAAATGGGGAGGTGGGACTCACAGAGACAGCAGCCTTCTCCAAAGAAATAACTTAAATATTCCCCTTCTATGAGTTCTATAACTTTAAAAAATATCTTCCTTGTGAATTTGTTACCTAACTGGTTCTTGTCCTCTAATATCTATCATTTGAAAGTATGCGACAAAGCACCTCATTTAACATTTTGTTGCATGTATCTGTTCTCACTGAAATAGAATTATTATGCTATAACTTGCCCTTTTCATTTGTCAACATCATGTGTATTTCTACAGGTGCATGAATACAGATCTAATTCTATCTTTTTTGGTAATTCCTTTTGCACATATGCATATATAAGTGTTTATGTAAATGTAATAACTGAGTCTGGGGTGGGCAAGCAGGGTGCCTAGGCACAAAATTTAAGGAGGCACTCACTGTCAGGGTCATGCCCCAGTGAACAGGACCTTATCATACTTTCTGTCATTTAGGCAAACCCTCCCCAAGCCCCTGCTTTTTTAGGAGCCAGTGTGTTATAGTAGTTAAAAGCACAGACTCTGGAATGAGACAGTCTAGTTTGGAATCCTTAGTCTACCACTCATTAGCTGTGCAAATCCAGGCAACTTTGCTCTCTGTGCTCCTGTTACAGCATCTGGCAAAATTGGGTTAGTGACAGTATCTATCCTATTGGTTTGCTACAGGAATTAGATCAATTTTTATGTATGTCTACGGAGAGAAGGGGGGAATATTCACATACTATGTGTGTGTGTGTATACAAAATACATATATATATATATGTGTGTGTGTGTGCTCATATATAGGTACGTAATATACAGAGTACATGTAGAGAGAATCCAGTCAACCCTCTGTATCTGTGAGCTCCACATCTGTGAATTCAACCAACCTCAGACTGAAAATATATGGGGAAAAACAAAACTTGAATTTACCACATAGAGAGTACTATGTTGAATTCACAGGAAGTTATGTGTATGCATTATATTAGGTATTATAAGTAATCTAGAGATTGTGTAAAGTATACTGAAGGATGTGTGTAAATTATATGCAAACACTTCATCATTTTATGTAAGAGACTTGAGCATTCTCAGATTTTGGTATCTTTGGTATATACATATATAAACAGCATCTGAGACCTAGTATGGGCTAAGTAAGTGTTAGTTGTTACTATTATTGTTATATTTGCTTTTTCTTATCCCTCCCTGTCTTTTTTCCCATTTCGACTGTGTGTCCTATTTTTCCCACCCAATCTTCCAATGATAACTCATGTTAACAACTTGAGAATCTTCTTTTTTAAAAAAAATTCATGATCGTTGACATAGTAACTTTGTTATACATTAAATTCTTACTTCAAAATAAAGTCTATTTCTAGACCATGTGTTCTGTTTAATAGATCTGCACTCAGCCTTCCATTCAACCAATCACGGACTGAAAATATTTGAAAAAAAAAACCACTGTAACAAGAAAAAATAATACAAATTAAAAAACCAATATAATATAACAACTATTTACATAATGTTTATATTGTATTAGGTATTATAAGCAATCTAAAGATGATTTAAATTACAAGGAAGGATGTGTGTAGGTTATATGTAAATGCCTTACCATTTTATGTCAGGGACTTGATTATCCATGAGTTTTGGTAGCCTCAGAGTTCCTGGAACTAATCCTTAGTGGATATCGAGGGACAACTGTATTTGCTTATTCTTACGCCAATACAATTGATTTCATTACAGTAGCTTTTAAGTATGTTTGAATAGTTGGTATAAACAAGTCCTTTGTGTTTACAACTTCCTCTTTGTTATTTTTCCAAATGAACTTTAAGATAATTTTAGTCATATTTAAGGTGAAGAAAATTCTGCCAACATTCTAATAGAAATTCCATTAACTTTACACAATGCATAATAATTTGAAGAGAAATTAATTTTTATAATATTGTCTTCTCATCCATAAAAAGACATACTTTTATTATTTTATTATTTATTTATTTTTTTGAGACAGGGTCTTACTTTGTTACCCAGGCTGGAGTACAGTGACATAATCATAGCTCACTGCAGCCTCAATCTCCCAGGCTTAAGCAATCCTCCTGTCTCAGCCTCCCAAGTAGCTGGGACTACAGGCGTGCACCACCATACCTGGCTCATTTTTTTTTTTTGTAAAGATGGGCTCTTGCTCTTATGCCCAGGCTGGTCTTGAACTCCTGAACTCAAGAAATCACCCCACTTTGGCCTCTCAAAGTGCTAAGATTATAGGCATGAGCCACTATGCCTGCCCGTATCTTTTCTTTTATTCAGAACTCATTTTGTATCTTTTAAGTACATTTAAAAAGTTTTCTTTGTATACGTAGCATGCTTTCACTATTATATTCACATAAATTTTACACCAATAGTTTTTGTCACTATTATGAAAGTATTTTTAAGTCACTTTTTCCTCTACGTGACAAACAGCATAAAGAAAAACTATTGATTTTTGTATATTTATCTTACATCTAGTCATTTTGCTAAATTGTTTTTCTTGACATAAAATTATATCATTAGCAAGAGAATTTTTTTATTAATAATTATGCCAATTGTTTTACTTTTTTGTCTAATTGCATTTGCTAATACTTCCAAGAAAGATACTGTTCAAGAAAAATGGCAGAGCTGACATTCTTGCTTAGTTTCTGAGAATAATTGAAATGCTTTAGCTATTGGCTATTTAGAATGATATTGGCCAATGAAACTTTGTAATCAGCTTGTAACATATTTCAGTTGATTCTTATTCTTATCTTATTTAGAATTCTTTTGAAAACTGGCTACTGAACATTATTAAGTGCTTTTTCAATATCTATAAATGTGACCACATGGATTTTCTATTTTAATCTGTTGTCATAATCAATTTCATATAGATTTCCTTATACTAGGACC
Source organism: Homo sapiens (assembly GCF_000001405.40). Classification (NCBI taxonomy): domain Eukaryota; kingdom Metazoa; phylum Chordata; class Mammalia; order Primates; family Hominidae; genus Homo; species Homo sapiens. The sequence continues at coordinate 229,959,040 of NC_000001.11, read as the reverse complement.
ACCTGGCATTTCTAGAATAAAAGTTCCTTGGTCATAGTATATTTCTTTTGATGCATTACTGTATTTTATTTGCTGATATTCTATCAGAATTTTTATTTTCATATTCATAAATGCAATTAGGCTATATTTTTCCTTTTATACTATATCAAGTTTCTGTCTTAGCTGTATAAAATAAATTAGGACAACTTTTCCTATAGTTTGGAATTATTTGTTCTTTAAAGTGTGGATGAAACCAAATACTAAAACCATTTGTTCTCAAACCCCTTTAAAGCATAAATCACACAGGACCTATAAAACAAAAATACTAGTTAAAAAGCAAAAACAAAATCCAAGGTACACAGGAAACAAATAGCACAATGAATGCAATGGTACCTCACATCTCAATACTAACATTGAATGTAAATGGCCTAAATGCTTCACTTAAAAGATATAGAACTGCAGAATGGATAGGAGCTCACCAACCATCTGCTGCCTTCAGAAGACTTACCTAACACATAAGGACTCATGTAAACTTAAAGTAAAAGGACAGAAAAAGGCATTTCATGCAAATGGACACCAAAAGCAAGCAGGGGTAGCTATTCTTATATCAGACAAAACACACTTTAAAGCAACAGCAGTTAAAACAGACAAAGAGGGACATTATATATGGTAAAAGGCCTTATCCAACAGGAAAATATCACAATCCTAAATATATATGCACCTAACACTGGAGCTCCCAAATTTATAAAACAATTATTAATAGACCTAAGAAATGAGGTAGACAGCAGCACAATAATAGTGGAGGACTTCAATACTCCACCCACAGCACTAGACAGGTCGTCAAGACAGAAAGTCAACAAAGTAGCAATGGATTTAAACTATACCTTGGAACAAATGGACTTAACAGATATATATAGAACATTTCATCCAACAACAACAGAATACACATTCTATTCAACAACGTGTGGAACTTTCTCCAAGATAGACCATGTGATAGGCCATAAAACAAGCCCCAATAAATTTACGAAAATTGAAATTATATCAAGCACTCTCTCTCAGACCACAGTGGAATAAAACTGGAAATCAACTCCAAAAGGAATCTTCAAAACCATGCACATACATGGAAATTAAATAACCTGCTCCTGAATGAACACTGGATCAAAAACAAAATCAAGATGGAAATTAAAAAATTCTTTGAACTGAACGACAATAATGACACAACCTATCAAAACTTCTGGGATACAGCAAGGCGGCATTAAGAGGAAAATTCATAGCCCTAAATGCCTACATCAAAAAGACTGAAAGAGCACAAACTGACATTCTGAGGTCACACCTCAAGTAACTAGAGAAACAAGAACAAACCAAACCCAAACCCAGCAGAAGAAAGGAAATAACAGAGATCAGAGCAGAACTAAATGAAATTGAAACATTGAAACAAAAAAAAATACAAAAGATAAATGAAACAAAAAGCTAGTTCTTTGAAAAGATAAATAAAATTGATAGACTATTAGCAAGATTAACCAAGAAAAGAAGAGAGAAAATCCAAATAACCTAAGAAATGAAAGGGGAGATATTACAACTGACACCACTGAAATACAAAAGATCATTCAAGGCTACTACGAACACCTTCACATGCATAAACTAGAAAACCTAGAAGAGATGGGTAAATTCCTGGAAAAATACAACTCTCCTAGCTTAAATCAGGAAGAACTAGATACCCTGAACAGACCAATAACAAGCAGTGAGATTGAAATGGTAATTTAAAAATTACCAACAAAAGAAGTCCAGGACCAGATGGATTCACAGCAGAATTCTAGCAGACATTCAAAGAAGAATTGGTACCAATCCTTTTGACACTATGCCACAAGATAGAGAAAGAGGGAACCCTCCATAATTCATTCTATGAAGCCACCATCACCCTAATACCAAAAGCAGGAAAGGACATATCCAAAAAAGAAAACTACAGACCAATATCCTTGATAAACCTAGATGCTAAAATCCTTAACAAAATACTAGCTAACTGAATCCAACAACGTATCAAAAAGATAATCCCCCATGATCAAGTGGGTTACATACCAGGGATGCAGGGATGGTTTAACATACACAAGTCAATAAATGTAATACACCACCTAAACAGAATTAAAAACAAAAATCACATGATTATCTCAATAGATGCAGAAAAAGCACACAATAAGATCCAGCATTCCTTTTTCAGTAAAACTCTCAACAAAATTGGCATACAAGGGACATACCTCAATGTAACAAAAGCCATCTATGACAAACCTACAGCCAACATAATACTGAATGGGGAAAAGTTGAAAGCATTCCCTCTGAGAACTGGAACAAAACAAGGTTCCCACTGTCACCACTCCTCTTCAACATAGTACTGGAAATCCTAGTCAGAGCAATCAGACAGGAGAAAGAAAGAGAAGGCATTCAAATTGGTAAAGAGGAAGTCAAACTGTCACTGTTTGCTGATGATATGGTTGTTTACCTTGAAAACCCTAAAGACTCCTCTAGAAAGCTCCTAGAACTGATAGAAGAATTCAGCAAAATTTCTGGATACAAGATTATTGTACACAAATCAGTAGCTCTTCTATACACCAACAGTGACCAAGCGGAGAATCAAATCAATAACTCAACCACTTTTACAATAGCTGCATTAAAACTAAAATACTTAGGAATATACCTAACCAAGGAGTCAAAAGACTTCTACAAGGAAAACTACAAAAAACTGCTGAAAGAAATCACAGACGACACAAATGGAAACATATCCCATACTCATGGATGGGTAGAATCAATATTGTGAAAATCACCATGCTGCCAAAGCAATCTACAAATTCAACGTCATCCCCATCAAAATACCACCATCATTCTTCACAGAATTAGAAAAAACAATTCTACAATTCATATGTAACCAAAAAAGTGCCCACATAGCCAAAGCAAGGCTAAGCAAAAAGAACAAATCTGGAGGCATCACACTACCTGATTTCAAAATGTACTATAAGGCCATAGTCACCAAAACAGCTTGGTACCAGTATAAAAAATAGGCACATAGACCAATGGAACAGAATAGAGAACCCAGAAATAAGCCCAAATACTTACAGCCAACTGATCTTTGACAAGGCAAACACAAACAAAAAGTGGGGAAAGGACACCCTTTTCAACAAATGGTGCTGGGATAATTGGCTAGCCACATGTAGGAGAATGAAACTGGATCCTCATCTCTCACCTTATACAAAAATCAACTCAAGATGGATTAAGGACTTAAATCTAAGACCCAAAACTATAAAAATTCTAGAAAATAACATTGGAAAAACCTTTCTAGACATTGGCTTAGGCAAGGATTTCATGACCAAGCACCTAAAAGCAAATGCAAAGCTAAAAACAAATGCAAAGCTAAAAACGAAGATAAATAGTTGGACTTAATTAAACTAAAGAGCTTTTGCATGGCAAAAGGAACAGTCAGCAGAGTAAACAGACAACCCACAGAGTGGGAGAAAATCTTCACAATCTATACCTCTGACAAAGGACTAATATCCAGAATCTACAACAAACCCAAACAAATCAGTAAGAAAAAAGCATCAAAAAGTAGGCTAAGGACATGAAAAGACAATTCTCAAAAGAATATATACGAATGGCCAACAAACATATGAAAAAACGCTCAACATCACTAATGATCAGGGAAATGCAAATCAAAATCCCAATGCAATACCACCTCATCCTACAAGAATGGTCATAATCAAAAATAAAAAAACAGTAGATGTTGATGCGGATGCAGTGAACAGGGAACACTTCTACACTGCTGGTGGGAATGTAAACCAGTACAACCACTGTGGAAAACAATGTGGAGATTCCTTAAAGAACTAAAAGTAGAACTACCATTTGATTCAGCAATCCCACTACTGGGTATCTACCCAGAGAAAAAGAAGTCATTATTCAAAAAAGATACTTGCACACACATGTTTATAGCAGCACAATTCACAATTGCAAAATTGTGGAACCAAATCAAATGCCCATCAATCAGCAAGTGGATAAAGAAACTGTGGTATATTTATATGATGGAATACTACTCAGCCATAAAAAGAAATGAATTAATGGCATTTGCAGCGACCTGGATGAGATTGCAGACTATTATTCTAAGTGAAGTAACTCATGAATGGAAAACCAAACACCATATGTTTTCACTGATATATGGGAGCTAAGCTATGAGGACACAAAGGCATAAGAATGTTACAATGGACTTTGGAGACTTGGGAGGAAGGGTGGGAGGAGGGTGAGGGAAAAAAGACCACAAATATGGTGCAGTGTATACTACTTGGGTGATGAGTGTAACAAAATCCCACAAATCACCACTAAAGAACTTATGTAACCAAATACCTCCTGTACCCCAATAACCTATGGAAAAATAAAAATAAAATGAATTTTTAAAAATTCGTTTTCAGTGATGTTTTAGTGGTAGATTTTTACTTGCCTTTCCTATCTCTACTACAGTAATTCATCCATTCAACTTTTCTGCTTCTTGGTTAATTTTGTTAATACATATTTCACAGAAAATCACCCATTTCCCCTAGGGATTCAAATTTGTTGTCAAAGTATTATAATTCTTTAATTGCTTCCTTCTTTCCTTCCTTCCTTGCTTCCTCTTAAACCAGGTTAATAAGAGTTAGCCATTTTTTGGTCTTTTCAAAGACTAACACTGGAAAGTATTTATCCATTCAAAATTTTTGTTTGTACTGTTTTTAATTCCTTCTTTCTGTTTTAGATTATTTTTCTATACTTTTCCATCTCTTAAATAGATAAATACAACATCCAGTTTTAGATTTCTTTTTTCTTTTAAAAGAGGGCATTGGAAATCATAAATAGCTTTTGCTATGCGCATAGAATTGACAGAAGATATACTCTTCTCTATTGCTTTCTAGACAATTTGTAGTTTCACTTTTGGTTTTCTCTTTGATCCATGGGTGTGCTTCTTAATTTTTTATAATAGGTAAGGGTGTTTTTTTTTTTTTTTTGCTTCCTTCTTGCTCTTCATTTTTTTCTAGTTTTATTGACTTGTGACTAGATTAAATGGCTTGTAAAAATTCTACTTTTTCTTTTTTAAGATTTCTATCATGACCAATGAGAAAAGACATAAGCCTTGGCAAATCTTGCTCACTTTTGTTTTTCTATTCCCAAAACTGAGGTGTTTGTTTTGATTCTGTTTTTTTTTTTTTTTTTTTTTTTTGTTAGTGGACTCTCAGCTGTTTCTGGTTATACAAGGTAAATGTGGGTTTGACTGTTGGAGTGTGTACAATATGGCAGCTCTAGGTGTATGGGTGATTATATTCCAAATTCTCAAGGATATTTCTTTTGTATTAATCAGAGAATAATATCTTGGCTGACAAGAGCATTCCTGGGTCAAAGCGTTTTTCTCTTCACAGTCTACAGTTGTTAAATTACAATATTCTAGTCTCTAGGCAAGATAGGAAATCTGAGGCCAATCTGAATCTCTTTCCTTACACGTAACTTGTCTTTCTCCTCTGGAATCCTGTAAGATTCCTTCTCTAGCCTCTGCCTTTCCTCTGGATATTTTGCTTCATTCCCCTCCCCAGAGGGGGAATGGACTTCATTACTCTAGAGTCCATTTCAGGGTAGAGGTCCATGATGAGAAAGATCTCTGAAGGGGTATCTGGGACAGCCGTAGAATGTCTTCCCTGGCTTTAGCAGCTGAAAGCTCTACACACTGCTGTTTGACCAGGTTGCTGTCTAACTGCTGACTGGACCTGAAGGCCACGAGAATGGGGTATAGGATGGTGTTTAATAAACGTCTATTGACAGATGGACTCACTGTAAAGCTGCAGGACCTACAGCAATCATGAATGGGCATTACTGTGGTTAAGCAAATGCCAAATGCTAGAGTTTCCTCTGATTACTCAGAGGAAGACTGCCAGTTCCTGACTTTAGCTAAATTAGGTTATGCTTTTAAGGAGATTCTCAGAAGAGAAGTATAAATATGTGTTATTTTAAATAAACATTTAGAAAAATGTACAAATCATAAATATACAGCTCAATAGATTATCATAAATTACACACACCATGCCACCACTGGTCAAGACAAGAAACGGACTCTACTAGTACCCCCTGACTCCCTTCATGCCCCTTTCCAATCACTGTTCCCTCCCTTCTCCCTGGAAGTAATCACTGTCCTCTTCCTCTTACACAATAGGTTTGTTCTGCCTGTTTTGAACTTTGTATAAAAATAATCATACAGAATGTACTCTTTGTGTCTAGCTCCTCTTGCTCAACATGATGCTTGAGAGATTTATCTATTTTGTCCTTGTAGTGGAGTGTTCATTCTTACTGCATGGATGTACAACAAGTAATTCATCTACTCCATTGTCAATGGACATTGAATTATTTTTGGTTTTTACTATTATGGATAATGGACAGTGCTATAGACATTCTAGTAAATTTTCTCACTTAACTTTATATTTCACCTAAGATCTCAATTACCGAAATTGAAATAAAGGTATAGCACTCATTTCTCACTCACATGCTTCCAATTCTGCGAATCCTTGTTATGGACTGAATGTTTGTGTTCTCCTCATTTTTATTCCATCTTCTATTGCTATAACAGACTGCTTCAGACTAGGCCAGGTGCAGTGACTCATGCCTGTAATGCCAGTACTTTATGAGGCCAAGGTAGGCAGATCACTTGAGGCCAGGAGCTTGAGACTAGTCAGGACAAAGCAAAACCCTGTGTCTGAAAAAGAAAAAACTTAAAAAATTAGCCAGGGTTGGTAGTGTACATGTGTAGTCTTAGCTACCTGGGAGGCTGAGGTGAGAAGATTGCTTGAGCCCAGGAGACTGAGACTGCAGTAAGCTATGATTGTGCTACTGCACTCCAGTCTGCGCAACAGAGCAAGGCCCTGTCTCAAAAACAAAACAGACAATACTACAGACTATGTAACTTATCAGGAACAGAAGTTTATCTGACTTGTGGTTTTGGAAACTGAGTAGTCCAAAAGCATGGCACCAACATCTGGTGAGTGTCTTCTTGCTGTATCATTACATGGCAGACAACATCACAAGACAAAGAGAGCAGGGGCAAGAGTGTGAGCTCAGGTCTCTCTCTCCTCATAAATCCTCCAGTTCCATCATGGGGGCCCTACTCTGAGGATGTCATCTAATCCCAATTACCTCCCAAAGGGCCACCCCCAATCAATGTATGAATTTGAGGATTAAGTTTCCAACATATGAAATCTGGGGGACACATTCAAACCATAGCACCTCCCACCCCCCAAATTCATATGTTGAAACCCTAACTCCCAATGTGATAGTATTTGGAGTTGGAGCCTTTGAGACATATTTAGGTATAGAAGAGGTTACTATGGAACCCCCATGATGGGATTAACACCCTTGTAAGAAGAGACAAGATATCTCTTTTCCTTCTTCCCTCCCTCTTTTCCTCCCTTCCTCCCTTCTTCTCTCTTCATCATATGAGGACACACTAAGAAGACATCACCTGCAAGCCAGTATGAGACACCTCACCAGACATGAAATTTGCTGGCACCTTGATCTTAGACTTCCCACCTTCCAGAACTGTGAGATATAAATGTTGTTTAAGCCATACAAGTTGATAAACTAACCTTCCTTTTAATCTAGATCCACTAATATTTAAACTCTGTGTGTGTGTCCTGTTTATGAAGCCTCTGCCTACTCAAATGTTATGAAGATATTATCCTAATTGTATTCTAGAACTGCACTATTACAGAAGCCACTAGCCACATGTGTCTGTTGATCACTTGAAATATGCCAGGTCCAAATTGAGATGGGTTGTGTTGGAAAAACTCTTCTAGACATAGGCCTAGGCAAAGAATTCATGACTAAGACCCCAAAGGCAAACACAATGAAAACAAAAATAAACAAATGGGACCTAATTAAACTAAAAAGCTTCTGCACAGCGAAAGAAATAATCAACAGAGTAAACAGACAACCCACAGAATGGGACAAAATATTTGCAAACTATGCATCCAACAAAGGACTAGTATCCAGAATCTTTAAGGAACACAAACAAATCAGCAAGAAAAAAACAAATAATCCTATTAAAAACTGGGCAAAGGAAATGAATAGACATTTCTCAAAAGAAATGAACATGAAAAAATGTTCAACATCACTAATCACCAGGGAAATGCAAATTAAAACCACAGTGAGATACCACCTTTCTCCTGCAAGAATGGCCATTATTCAAAAGTCAAAAAATAATAGATGTTGGTGTGGATATGGGGAAAAGGGAATGCTTATACACTGCTGGTGGGAATGTGAATTAGTACAACCTCTATGGAAACAGTGTGGAGTTTCCTTAAAGAGGTAAAAATAGAGCTACCAGTCTATCCAGCAATCTCACTACTGGGTATCTACCCAAAGGAAGAGAAGTCATTACATGAAAAAGACACTTGCACACATACATTTATAGCAGCACAATTCACAACTGCAAACATGTGAAGCCAACCTAAGTGCTCATCAACTAATGAGTGGATAAAGAAAATGTGGTGTATACACATCATGGAATACTACTTGGCCATTAAAGGGAATGAAATAATGTCTTTTGCAGCAAGTTGGATGGAACTGGAGACCAGTATTCTGAGTGAAGTAACACAGGAGTGGAAAACCAAAAACCGTATCTTCTCACTTATAAGTGACAACTAAGCTATGAGTATACAAAAGCATACAGAGTGATATAATGGACTGTAGAGACTCAGAAGCGGGAGGGTGAGAGGGGGCCGGGGATAAAAAAAACTACACATTAGGTACAATGTACACTACTCGGGTGAGCGCTGCAGTAAAATCTCAGAATTCACCACTATGTAATTCATCCATGTAACCAAAAACCACTTGTACCCAAAGGCTATTGAAATAAATACACAAATTGAGATGGGTTGTAATTGTAAAATATACACTAGAATTCAAAGACAATGTAAGTAAAATATCTCAGTAATGTTTATATTGGTTACATGTTGAAATGATAATATTTTGGATATATTGAGTTAAATACAAAATGTAATTAAGATTTAGTCTGTTTCTTATTTTTAAAATGTGACAAGAGTACTTAAAATGATATGTGGCTCGGATTTGTGCTTGTATTATGTTTCTATTGGATAGTGCTGTTCTAGACTTATTATTTTACCATTCACATGCACATCTAAAACCCATCTAGAATTGAGTTGTATGTGTAACTTGAGGAAGGGGTCAATTTTGTGTATTTCCATATGGGTGACCAATTGATCTAGTATAATTTGTTGAAAAGGCTGTCGTTTCTACACTGGTGTGTACTGTTATCTTTGTTATATCAAGTGTTAAACATGTGGGTCTCTTTCTAGGCTCTCTCTTCTGTTCCATTGTTCATATGTCTATCCTTTCACCATGAGTCATCTAAATTACTGCAGTTTTATAAGAAGTCTTTATTTTGGGTCGTTAAGTTCTCCCACTTTTCTCTTTCTCCAAAATTGCCTTGCTCATAGCCATTCGTGTTTCCAGGTACATTTTATCATTGACTTATCAAGTCTCTCAAAAATTCCTGCTGGGATCTTAACCGGCATGTGTTGAATTTATAGATCCATTTGTGGAAAACTAACATGCACCTTCTAATACATAAACATGACCCACATATGTATGTATGTCTTCTTTAAATTCTTTCAATAATGTTTTATAATTCATTGTGTGGAAAGGTCTTGCAAATCTTTTGCTAGATTTATTGTCAGGTGTTTGATTTTTAAATGCTATTATAGATGCTATAAATTTTAAATTTCTTTTTCTACTTTTTGTTACTGGTATATAGGAATACAATGATTTTTATTAACATTTTATCCAGACGTTGCTAAATATTCAAATAGTTTATTTGTGTAGACTCTTGGATTTTCTGTGAACACAAGCATGGCATCTGCAAATAATGACAGCTTAATTCTTTCCATTCAATCCTTCTTTTATTTCTTTTTCTTTCCTTACTTCACTGAATAGGTCCTCTGATAAAATGTTGAATTAAAATGGCAATAGCAAGCATCCTTGTGTTGTTTCTAATTTGAGAGGAAAAGGTTTTAACATTTCACTGCTAAGTATAGCTTTTTAGTTTTCTGTGGTGAGGAGGCTCTCATAGATATGGACATTGTCTTCTTCTAGCTGACTGGGAGGCTTTTTAAAAAAAATTATAAGTATGTGCTAAATATTATTACATGCTTTTTCTGCCTCTACCATAATGATTACATGATTTTTCTTCTTTAGAGTTGTATTTTAGTTAATTATTGCTGTGTAACAAATGACCCTCATAACTCAGCCTCTTAAAACGAGAAACATTTATTATCTTTCATAGCGTCTAAGGGTGGGGGGTCTGCGAGTGGCTTGGCTGGATAGCTTTGGCTCATGGCTTCTCAGGAGGGTGCAGTCAAGCTGGTGGCCAGGCCTGCAGTCATCAGTCATCGCAAGACTCATCTGGGGTGGAAGAGTCGGCTTCCACGCTCACTCACATTGCTGTTGCAAGTCTTAGCTTATTGCTGCTGGCTGGAGGCTTCGGTGGCATGCAGCCCTCTCCAGGGCTGCTCACGTGTGGTAGCAGGTTTTCCCTGGAGTGAGACAGGACGGAGAGTGGGATGGGGGGAGCACCCTAGTTGGTAGTGACAGATTTTAAGAATCCAATACCAGAAGTGACTTACCATTACTTCTGCTATATGCTGTTGGTCACACAGCCTAGAAATCTGTGCTGTATTATTTTTATAAGGTAATCCAAGAAACAACGACACAGAGAAAATCCAGTAAAGGGACAGGCAGGCAGCCCTGCTGCCCTCCTCATCTCTCTTTCTGTCTCTAGCATTGCCTATAGACATTCCGGTTTGCTTAGCAAGCAAGTCCAGTCTTCTTGAGAGGACAAGAGTGACTCATGTTCCCACTGCCTGATGAAAAGAACCCTTGACGTATTATTATTAATAAAACATATGCAGTGCTGTATGGATGTGTGTATGTGTATGTCATTCTGATTTACCAAACAGTCTTTAGGCAAACCAGCTTCTAAAACAAAGTACAGATCTGAATCCTACATTTTAAATTACCATTAGACCTCATTTGGGAGCTTCTGGCAAGGTCTCACCTATTTTCAGAAGCGCTCTGGCACTGTAACCCTGTAAATTGCTACCCAGCACTGCTTCCTAATCTTTTCTTTCTTGACAATCTCTATTAAAGAGGCTATAAATGCCATGGGGTATAGTTCTGACCAGTGAAATATATGTAGGATTATTCTGAGGGATATTCTGGGAAAATCATTATGTTCCTGCTGAAAGTGGCTATTTGCAGCTTCTCACGTCCCTCCTTCTTCCTTCCTCGAACATAGATTTGAGCCTGGGGCACAGACCAACCCTCTTGCCAACATGAGAAAAGGGTTAAGATAATCACAGAGATTCTGGTTCTGGCCTCACTTAGGGAGTGAATATGGCATGAATACCAGCAACGACCTAGCTCCAGACTTGCTATCAAGAAAAAGAAACCTGTATTTTTTAAGGCCGCTATAGGTGAGATTTTCTGTCACTTGCATCCAAAAATATTCCAAAATCGTACAGTGACAAATCTTCCTTGAGGAATGGCTTTGATTCTGGGGAACTGCTAAGTTGTCTGGAGATCTGAGGTGCCTAATATGAGTGATTAAGTTAGATGATGCAAATTTTTGCAGGGTTTTAGAATCATACAGATTATTAAAAATTTGCGTTAAACAAAGTCCTAAAGCAGGCAACCTGCAAGCATTTAAAAAAATAACAGTAATGTTGGAATCCATTTTAAGGTGACTATTTTGAAAGGTAACAGTCAATTTGATGACATAGTTTGATATTTATTTTTTAAAATCAGTGGCTTTTTTATTGTCATATCTCATTTCTCTTTTTATGCTCCAACATGACCCTGTATTCTTCTGAGCTCAATAAATTCTTGTTGATTGACTACACACATAAATGCCTTGTCCTAGGCTTATTTTAGCCATATACTAAGCTTTTTCTGCCTTCTGGAAGTCCTAAGTATCCATGTGTGCCCTAGATTATAAGCGCCAAGGAAACAAGGGTTGTTTAGTTGTATCAGTCCTAGTTCTGTTGTGCACCACGAAAGATTGTATTAATGATTTTTGTAAAGACAACAATGATGGTAATGATGATGATGACAATGATGATGCTGTCCAAGGGCAGGATATTGGGTTAAATGACCCCACTTCTCTCTAGTTCAAAGAAATTCCTGATATGTAAAATAAGATTGGACTTGAATCTTGTCTACAGTCTATCATTCCATGAAGTGCAGCAAGGAAGCATGCAAAGGAATGTGTGGACATCTGACTGGTGGGCTTGTGCCCCCAAGAGGGATCTATCTCAAGTGCCTGTCTTCCCAGAGTGCTGGGAACATACACTCAGACCCAGTGCTCTGTACAGGCGCCAGGGTGGTCTTGGATGAGAAATACAGGACACTGTGGTGTATCCCAAAGTGTGTCTGGGGTCTGCAGAGCTGGGTGGTCTCATTGTTAATGTATACCAAGTGCTGCTAGGAGCTCAAGAGCTCTTTTGAGCACAGTGTCTTGGACTCAAATAGCATGTTCTTCCAGAGGGCTCATTCCTTTTCCTTTTTGAGACAGAGTCTCGCTCTGTTGCCCAGGCTGGAGTGTAATGGCGCGATCTCGGCTCACTGCAACTTCTGCCTCCCTGGTTCAAGCGATTCTCCTGCCTCAGCCTCTAGAGTAGCTGGGATTACAGGCACCCACCTCCATGCCTGGCTAATTTTTGTATTTTTAGTAGAGATGAGGTTTCACCATGTTGGCCAGGCTGGTCTCAAACTCCTGACGTCAAGCCATCCACCTGCCTCGGCCTCCCAAAGTGCTGGGATTATAGGCGTGAGCCACCGCGCCCGGCCTCATTCCTCTTTCTAGGAATTTCTTCCTCAGCAGTCACTGAGTCTCTGGGGTAGTGAGAGTGTTTCTGACCCCAAGGAGGCCATTCATAGTGTCTTCATTACAGGTGGAAAGGCAATCAGCAATCCAAGGGAATGCATAGTTTGCTCAGGTGGCAGAGACAGACACAAAGCATTTCACATTCTCTGTGAGCTGAGGGTGGGGGTGATAGTGGGGACCTGGGGAGTCTTCAAGAACCCATTAGTCTCAACCTGAGTATTTGTCTTGCAGGACATGGATGTTGGGAGCTAAAAGAAGATAAAGTTGGAGCCAGGTTGGAAGGCTGATTGCTCAGGGCCTTGATTCCAGGGTAATTTTTTTTTTTTTTTAATCAGTTCTAGGAAGCCAATGAAAGGGTTTCGCTTAGAGCAGGGTTTTCAGCCGTGACGCTACTGACATTCTGGGACAGCTCATTCTTTGTGGAAGGGGCTGTGTGCAACATGCATTCCAGGATGTCCAGAAGCATCCCTGGCCTCTTACCCTCCACGTGCCAGGAGCAGCACACAAGCCCGCGTGACACCCACAAGCATCTCCTGACACCATCACATCTCTGGAGGCAGAATCGCGCTGGTGGGGAACCACTGATATAGAGGACCATCTGTGGAGAAGGACATTTTGGGAAGCTGACCCGGCAGCAGTATGTAGGTGGCTGGAGGAGACACATGCTGAGGAGGTGACTGCTCGGGAGGTGAATTCGATAGCCCGGGAGGAAGCAGATGGGGAATAGAGGCTAGCTGCCCCTGGGGAGGGCATGGGTGGTTGGGCAGTGGGAGGCGGAAAGAGTGGATGGGACTTGCGGTTGATGGAATGCAGATGACAGGAGATGGGAAAGAGTCAAAGATGGCCCCCAGGCTGGTGCCCAGGGGAGCCTTAACATCATTGTCTGAAACATGTATGTCAAGAAATGGGGAATTGGGGTGAGGAGGGGTGAAGCTGACCAAACGTTTGGATTTTAACATCCTTTTAGGGAAAGAGGTTGGGAACGACAATACTGTATTTTATAAAAGGGAAAATTAAGTTTAAAAAAAAAGATGAGTTGACCTGTCTAAATTGAAAACACTAAATTCTAACAGAGTTTATGCAAAAATTAAGGACTCGTGACTCCCCATTGCAGCGTGAAATGAATGGCCAACTTTAAAAACTTCCATTTCTATTCTCTTTGAAAATATGAGGACACTGAAATACAGGGAAGGCTGTATTTCACCGAACTTTCCTTTCAATCGTGCCTCCGTTACGTCATAGTCTCGCTCATGGGGAAGGGGAGGCTCAGGCTTTCAAGCAAGCAGTAAAAACATGAGTTATTGTTGCCTCTGGAAATCATTGACCGATTAGAAGAGGAGCAGTGAGGAAGCTGCTGCCTCCATGAGCAACAGGGCGGGCACCAGCCGACCGCACCTGGTGGGTCTTCCAGCTGGGGTTGGTGACTTGGTCAGGGCCGGCTCAGAGGCCTCCTCTTTAAGGGCAGCCTATGGGACAGCACTGCCAGAACAAGCCCACTGCAGCCTGGAGAGGATCCAGCCTGGGGGGGACGCGGAGTCTACGTGGCTACCGCAGGCGAGCGGGACGCCGGACACACACATGGCCTCACATGGTTCAAAGACGTTCCTGGGCCAAGGTGGGCCCCTGGCACCGCTCAGCAGCTCCCTGGGGCTGCACATTTGGCGCTGAGCCCAGGGATTCCAGTTTTGCTCCCTGTGCGAATCCTCTGGGGCAGCACCGTGAGAAGCCGTGAAGCAAGGAACAGTGAGAGAAGGAGAAACACAGAACCCGGGCAATCAGAGAACCAGTGGCCTGGCACTGACATGCTCACCTGTCTCCCACTGCTGCTGTTCCCATACGCCCTAGGTGCCACCCGTCACAACGACCTGCACACGGCCTGGCCTCCAGATGTCTTGTTCTTCAAGGCCTCTAGACTGCCTCCTCCAGGAAGCCTTCCCCAGGTGCAACTTCCTCTTCCTCCAGGAGCTCAACATGGTGCTTTACACATCAGTGCGCAGACTGGTTCCTCTATCTGGATCGGAATGCCTTGAGAGCAGGGACTCCACCATGTTCATTATGTTTAACCCAGAGGTCCCAAGCTCTCCGCACTCCTGGGTTAACCGCTTCGGGAACGTCAACTCCCCTGACCCAAGCCCTTGCTGGTGTGACGGAGAAAGGCAGGGCCCCATTGCTCTTCCTCTCTCACAGGCCCCTTCCCTCCTCCTCCCACAGCTGCTCTGGGCGAGTTCGCACCAGTGGGGCTGCCCTGTCCCTTGTCCCCATCAGGCACAATCTTTGTTGCTACCCAGCCCCACCAACAGTAAACCACACTGTCCAACAAAGTTTTACGAAAGGTTGAGGGTAACATGGGGTGAATAACAACTTAGAAAGAGAAAGCTTCAGAAAAGCCACTCCCCACGTCCTCCCACCTTCTCTCTGTCCGGGGTCTTCCTTTGGCCATCAGTCTTCTTAATTCTGGCTGGCAGATCTGCTCCAGCCAAACAAGTCTGCCCTATAAGCCCTCCCTCCCCTGGTGATGCAGACGGCCACTCTCCTGCTAAGGGTGCTCCCCACCCTCTGTTATGATCGCCGCCCCCCACCACTCTCTGCCATACCTTTGCACAAGCAAAAAGCCCTTACTGGACATTCTAAATATGAGCTGTAGTGCCACCGTTACAGTACAGGGACAGGCTGCACTTTAAAAACGACACTTTCCCCAGCATTTTGTCTTTTTTTGTCTTATTATTAAATTCAAAGCACTCAACAAGGGTGTCTGGGCCATGCTAAGTACACAATAATGTTGGTTAATTGAATTGATGAATCTGATTTCCTTCATTATTCAATTTGGGTTGAGATAAAACAGTATTTGTAACTCATTTAATGAAATAATTGAGAGACAGTGGCTGCATCAAATAGTGGGAGAGTTTTACATTTGTATCCCTTGACTTTGGATTCATTGAAGCTGGCCGATTGGTCATTCCTCAGTTGGCTGTAAAGATGCAGTAGACACTGTTCATGTCCTCAAAACCAATAAACATGTTTGATCAGATTCAGAGAGCCCAGGCGGATAGCGGGCACTGGGGCAACAATTGGAATTCCCTTTCAAATTTAGGGGAAGGCAACCCAGCCACTGTTGTCAGGTGGGCTGGATAGCATTAGCCCATGAGTTAGAAAACACAGCAGAGGTGAAATCCAGACACAAGAAAATAGAGTAAAACTTGAGTGAAAGAGAATTCAGTGTCTGAGCCAGAAAGACAGCTGCAGGTGTGGGGCCATAGGACAGTCACTGGGTTCCCAGAACACAGATTTCTGGGACAGGTGGGGACTTAGAGCCTCACAAGAGCCCTGGAGTTGCTGGGCAGCAACCAAGGTGTTTTTCATGGGGCAGCTATGGCCTGCTGGCCAAAAGAGCTTGAGCACATGTCAACCAGAAGTGAGAGCTCATGGGTATGTACCTCAGATTTGGCCTGAAAGCCCACGCAGGCTGCCAAAGACTGGAATAAAACCCAAATGTCCACTGACAGGAGCATGTGTGGATAAAGTGTAATTCACACAATCCAACAATAATGGCCAAACTGCAGCTGTGCAAACATGAGAGACTCACAAACATTATCCTGAGTGAGAGAATCAGGAAAAAAGAATACATTGGTGTAATTCCATTCATCCTAAAACAGAAAACACAGAGCCATATTTTTAGGTTTGAAATACATAGGTGGCAAACATACAAAGAAAAGCAAGGAAATTATTGGGCTGAATAACAAGACAATGAATCGCTCTGGATGGGAAGGATGTCTTGGGGGCTTTTGCCATCGTGGTAACACAAACGTTCCTTGATTGTGTTGTAACCCCACTGTAAGTATTGTAACCCCATTGATCACACCATCAAAAAATCGTAAGTCAAGGCATCGTGAGTCAGAGACTGCCTCTATTCTACTTTTTAATCTGCCTGCTGGTTATAATTGACCGCATATGTTTTGTGCACTTTTCTTTTTCTATGTTATATTTCATGACGTGTTTTTAAGTGGAAAGAAGTCGTGCTAGTTGCAATTCTGCAGCCAGTCCCTTTGAGGACTCTCTTATTTTTCGCTTTCCCCAACACTGCTTTGTTTGCCAGCCATCAATGACAATTTTGGCAGGCTCCCCGTAGGCGCAATCTGCAGGCTTCTTGGCCCATTTATTCAATCAACAAATACTTTCCAGGAGCGTACTATGTGCTGGGCACTGTGCTAGCCTCCGGGGGTTCAGGTATGCTGCTTGCTCCCACGGTGTCCTGCTAAGCAAAAAACTATGTGACACTTGATGCTTCCCTTCCCCCCCAGCATTTCTGGAAGCTCAGAGCTGAAGTTTGTTTTTATTTTTAGTAGCTTCCCCTATGGTTGATTTTTGGATGTAATGATCCCCTACCCCTTTTGTCACACAAGCAACGTTTTTACTTCTTTAGTTTTGCAGGTTTGTCAACCAAATTTTACTGGAAGCCACTTCAAATCCTTGTGGGTGGTAGTTACAGAAAATGGGTGAGCCATGGAGCACCCCTTGCTCTCTCCTCTTGACTCCTCTTCCCAGTGGTCATGTCTAACCTCTCCGTCCCCACCTGTGCCCTGCACCAAGGCCCTGAGCTTGCCCATTCAACCCCTCTCCATCAGTCCCTACCAACGAGGCTGTGCCCCATCCTTGAGACATTTTCAGGGACACTTTTACTTTCATATCCGTCACATTTTCCAGTCCTTCAGAGTCAGGAACTAAACCCGTGAGCAAAGCTTTTTTCCTCTTATCAGTTCCCAGCCCAGCAGAATTAGACTCAAAGACTGCGTCAAGGTGAGCACAAGCAGGGCTAATCTTGGATTTACAGGCTCACGCTTCCATTACCCCAACAATAGCGGCCAGAGAGGGGCCTGCCACAGCAGAAATACACTTGAATTGACCATTTTGAAACACCCTTCATCGGCTCTCATTTGGTAAAAGGTAACCTGGGATGAAGTGTATTTTAACAAACCAGGAATGCTGGAATGATTTTGCTGTAGGGAAAGTTATTTAAAATGTTGCCCCCAAATAAATATGAGGATAGACCCTGAGCCTGCCTGGAGAGAGGGCATTTGTGTTGCTGTAGTTACTTCAGGCCTCATTCCAGCTTTGCATGACACCGTCCATGGAGGAGCTTGTGATAGGGAGGGGGCTGCAGAAATGAGGTTTTATTTCTTCCCCTCTTGATGTGATAAACCCGTGTAGGCATCTTTGGAATGTAACCATACCAAAGATCCTGTTGCCTTTACAACTCCATAGGGTTCTGGGCCATTTCCAAGACATTATCTGGAGAGAGAAAAATGTTCAGGGTGCTGAAAAAAAAAGCGCCTTAATTATGTTTAGAGCCATTTTCAGCATGACTGCAATAAGTTTCAGCCGTTCTGGGGAAATGGGCTGAGAGCTTTGTGCTATACGGTTGGACTTTCTCGAGTTGGAAGAAAAAGCATTTAGAACAACGTGAGGCCCTGAAAATGTGTGCAATTTCAATGAAAACAGAGACCCTCTGGCACATACACACACGTGCACCCACACACATAAGCATGCACTCACAAATTTACACAGGTGCACACAGACCACATGCACACACAATACACGTGTGCACACGTGCACACGCATACACAGTGCTTTGCCCAAGTGGATGGGGACGCAAAGGTCAGAAAAGGATAGAAAAAGGAGGAAAAGGTATATCAAGGAAACAATGTCTTTAGTACAAATACCTAGACTGGGCAGATCCAAATGTTATGGGCTCTCAGGCTGGGTGCCGTGGCTCATGCCTGTAATCCCAGCACTTTGGGAGGCTGAGGTGGGTGGATCACTTGAAACCAGGAGCTCGAGACCAACCTGGGAAACATGGCGAAACCCTGTCTCTACAAAACAACAACAACAACAAAATTATGGATTCTCTATAAGAAAAATACAGTCCTGAAGATGATAACTTCATGTCCAGTGTCTTGGGAGAGGTCCTGCAAGTGTGGGTCATGAAGCTTTAGCATCATGAGTTTAAGAGTAAATACGGTACAAACCAGATTTTGTTTTCAGCCTCACAACAAATGAATTCCTATGTGGATTTGACTTCCCCCCCACCTCCCCTTGAGCCTCCCCAGGTCTTAATACCACTCCTAAAAGATCCCCTCTTGTCCCAGTACCTGTGTTCAAGAGCTGCCAAAGGCTCTGCTCCTCTTCATGGTCTCCGGCAGCTACCTGGCACAAGGGGTTTGCCTTCAGTGCCAGATTCCCTCTTCTTGAAAGATTCCCTCTCTCCGTTCTTTACCCTCTATCTACCTGCTACAGTGTCTCAAAGCTGAGGAGCTGGGATTTTGTTACCCAGTCAAAAAATATTGATTTTTCTGAGAAGACCTCAGTGTGAAAGCTGTGCTTTTAAAAGCAGACTAATCTCTGAAAGCAGATTTTCAGATATCCCTGAGCAAGCATCTGGGGCAAAAGTATTCCCAGATTACTCAGATCCCACATGTGCTGGCCGGTGGGATGGTCTGGCTGTTACATAGTAAGAAGGAAAACCTGAAGAACACGGGAAAGGGTTTCCACAATCTCAAGAAGGACTGTTTCCTATGCCACACTCCCAGAGACACTGGCTCCGCAGAAAGCTGTGGCTGGAACCTGAAAATAAGTTTTAGAAATGCTAGAATAAGGCTGGGCACGGTGGCTCACACCTGTAATCCTAGCACTTTGGAAGGCCGAGGCGGGTGGATCACCAGGTCAGGAGATCGAGACCATCCTGGCTAACACAGTGAAACCCCGTCTCTACTAAAAAAATACAAAAAAAAAAAATTAGCTGGGTGTGGTAGTGGGCACCTGTAGTCCCAGCTACTGGGGAGGTTGAGGTAGGAGAATGGCATGAACCTGGGAGGCAGACCTTGCAGTGAGCCAAGATCAGGCCACTGCACTCCAGCCTGGGTGACAGAGCGAGACTCCATCTCAAAAAAAAAAAAAGAAAAAAGAAATGCTAGAATAAAACAGTTTTATTCCTATGGGACTTTGCATAATCTCTAACATACTAATGTAGGTTGTACATCTTCAGTGGGGGGAGAGGATGCAGTAATCCCCAAATTATTGAACCTCGGGCTCCTTTCTTTTTCAGGGAGTGGTGGTTCAGACGATCCTCCATATAATTTAAGTGTAGGCACTGCTACAACAGGTAGGTTTGATGGAGTTAGGAGTTGGACTTTGCTGACTTAATTGGAACTGAGGTGGGTAGGGAGATTGTTAGGAGGTGTGGCCCTTCTAATTACTGCTTCTTATAAACTCTGCTGGAATAAGCCACCAAGAAACAGATGGAGGACATTTGTCATTCTTTTTGGCCGCACAGCAGCTGAACCCCTTTCCTGGTCTTGGGGAAATCCCCACTGAAGGAGTCTTGGCAGCAAGCTGAGCCAAACTTCCCCCTTGGAAAGTGTGAGCCGCTCGCTTTCCCAACTTCTTTTGCAACTAGGGACCACGCTTGTCAATCAGATAGATGCAGGTGCCTCTGTCTCCCCAAAAGACACATATGAGATCATTCATAGCAGCTTAGTAGCCATGAACTGGAAACAACCTACATGTCCACCAGCAGCAGTACAATAAATAAATGATCCATAGTATATTCACACAGTGGAATATGACACAGTAAGGAACAAGATTTAACAATGATCACATGCAACAAGGATGAGTCTCACAGCCGTAATGTTTTGTGAAGGAAGGCAGGCACAAGAGCACACACTATGATTCCACTTATGTCAAGCAAAGAAACAAGCAAAACAAATCTATGGTGGTGGCTGTCAGGAGAATGGTTGTGTTGTGGAGATTATTAACCGGCGGGGGACATGGGGTACTTCTTGGGGTTCTGGAAATATATGCAAAAATTTATCAGGTTATATACTTAGTATCTGTACAATTTACGGTATGTAAGTTACATCCCCTCCTCTGCAAATAGGTTAAGAGAAAACAAAGATGAAGGTTAAAAAAGCCAAATGCACTATCTATTGACATAATAACTAGCATTTTAAAACCACTTATGCTCTAGAACTTTATATGTATATATAAAATCTCACTTAATAATAATCCTAAGATTCTGATTTTTTTTTAAAATAGCTAAATTGAAGTATAACTGACAAAATAAACTGCATATATTTAATGAATATAATTTAATAAGTTGACCTATGTAAACACCTATAAAACCATCATGGCCATGAAGATAATGAAGATTTCTGTCACCCCAGAAATTTCCTCATGCCCCTTTTGTAACCCACGTCTTACTTCTGTCCCTCCCTGCTTCCTTCTCCATCCCCGGGCAACCACTGATCTGCTTTCTGGCACTATACGTTGGTTTGCATTTTCTAATTTATTTATTTATTCTTTTTTTAGAAAAGGGGTCTCGAAATATTGCCCAGGCTGAAGTGCAGTATCCATAGATGTGATCATAGTGCACTGCAGCCTCAAACTCCTGGCCTCAAGCAACCCTACTCCCTCAGCCTCCCACGTAGCTGGC
Organism: Homo sapiens; assembly: GCF_000001405.40. Classification (NCBI taxonomy): domain Eukaryota; kingdom Metazoa; phylum Chordata; class Mammalia; order Primates; family Hominidae; genus Homo; species Homo sapiens. Next base: position 229,937,630 of record NC_000001.11, on the reverse strand, counting down.
ACTATAGGCACGTGCTGCTGTACCCAGCTTCTCAAGTTTTATATAAATGGTCATTCCTTTTAATTGCTGAAAAGTATTCAATTATACGGATATGCCATCATTTATCCATTCAACTGTTGATGGACATTTCAGTGGTTTCCAGCTTGAGGCTATTACAAATAAAGTAGCTTAGAACATCTTTATACACATCTCTATATAAATATATACATTTCTCTTGAGTGAATGCCTAGAATTAGGATGGCTGGATCATATGATAGATGTATGCTGAAGAAACTGCACAATTTTTTTCCAAACTGGATGTACCATTTTGCATTTCCAACAGTGGTATATGAGAGATCCAGTTTCTGCACATCTTTGTCAACATTTGATATAGTCAGTCCTTTGAATTTTAACCATCCTAACAGGTATGTACAGACAGTCCCTGCTTTACAATGGTTCAATTTAGAAATGTTCAACTTTACAATGGATTTATCAGGATGCAACTCCATTGTAAATCAAGTGACATCCAGACTTAAGACTGTTCAACTTATAAATTTTCAACTTTATGATATATCTATCAGGGTATTAAATGCATTTTTGAATTACAATATTTTAAACTTATGGACGGGTGCGGTGGCTCATGCCTTTAATCCCAGCACTTTGAGAGGCCAAGGTGGGCAGATTACCTGAAGTCAGGAGTTCAAGACCAGCCTGGCCAACATGGCGAAACTCCGTCTCTACTAAAAATACAAAAATTAGCCAGGTGTGGCGGCACATGCCTGTAATCCCAGGTACTCAGGAGGCTGAGGCAGGAGAACTGCTTGAACCCAGGAGGTGGAGGTTGCGGTGAGCCAAGATTACACCACTGCACTCCAGCCTGGGCAACAGAGTGAGACTCCGTCTCAATAAATAAATAAATACATAAATAAATAACTTCGGTTGCGCTTATTAGGTTGTGACCCCATTGCAAATCAAGGAGCATACACAGTGATATTTTATTGTGGTTCTACTGTGCCTTTCCCTTATAACTAATGATGTTGAGCATCTTTGCATTTTGCTACACATGTGTCTTCTTTGGTGAAGTTCCTATTCAAATCTTTCGCCCACTTTTAAGACTTAAGTTGTTTGTTTTCTTACTATTAAGTTTAGAGAGTTCTCAATATATTCCGGATACTAGTCCTTTATCACATATATGATTGGCAAATATTTTCTTCCAATCTGTGACTTATCTTTCTCTTAACAATGTCTTTGGAAAAGAAAACGTTTTTAATTTTGATGGTTTAGTTTATCAATTTGTTCTCATATACACTTTGTTTTTGATGTCATATCTAAAATACCTTTACCTAACCTAAGGTAACAAAAATTTTCTTCTCCATTGTCTTCCAGAATTGTTATAGTTGTAGGTTTTTCATTTAGATTTGTGAACCATTTAATTTTTATATATAGTATGAAATATTGAATTGAGGGTTTTTTTGCACAGTAACTGTTCTGACACTATTTAGTTCCTAAGACTATGCTTTCTCTACTGAATTACGATTCTATTTTGATTAAAAATCAGTTTTTCACGTGTGTGAATTTTTCTGACTATTCTATTCCATTGATCTATCTATCTTTACGCCAATACCAAATTTGTTCTTTTTCAAAATTATTTTTGCTACTTCAGGTACTTGGCATTTCCATATAAATTTTAGAATCAGCTTGTCAATTTCTATTTTTATAGAGATTGCATTAAGTACATACATCTATTTGAGGAAAATTGACATCTTAAAATTAATTCTTCCAACCCACAAAGGTATGTCTCTCTATTTATTTATTCTTTAATTTATTTCAGCAACATTTTGTAGTTTTAGTGTGTATATTTTGCATTTCCTTAGGCTTATTTTTAAGAATTTCATATTTTTATGCTATTGTCAATGTTATTTTAATATTTCTGATGTTTGTTGCTAGGATTTAGAAATACAATTGATTTTTAAATTGACCTTGTGTTTCATGTCCTTAATAAACTGACTTATTAGTTGTAGTAATTGTGTTTCTGTTTCCTTGTTTTTACATATAGCATCATATTTGCATAGATGATGTCACCTGTGAATAAAACCAATTTTGTTTCTTCTTTATCAATGTGGATGCTTTTTGTTTCTTTTTATTGATCAATTACATCGGTTAGAATTTCCAGCACCATGTTGAATAAAAGTAGTGAGAGCAGAAAGTCTTACTTATCTTGTTCCAGATCTTAGGGAGAAAACAGTCTTTTTTTTTTTTTTTTTTTTTTGAGACAGAGTTTCACTCTTGTTGACCAGACTGGATTGCAGTGGCGCAATCTCGGCTCACCGCAAACTCCACCTCCTGGGTTCAAACGATTCTCCTGCCTCAGCCTTCTGAGTAGCTGAGATTACATGCCTGCGCCACCACACCCAGCTAATTTTATATTTTTAGTAGAGATGAGGTTTCTCCTTGTTGGTCAGGCTGGTCTTTCACCTTTAAGTATGAAGTTAGCTGTAGATTTTTTCATTAAGTGCCCTTTATCAGATTGAAAAAGTTCCCTTCTATTTCTAGTTTGCTGACACTTTTTATTGGGAATGGATGTCAAATATTGGAAAATGCTTTTTATGTCTCTTGAGATGATATGACTATTTTCCCTTTTTTTAGTTTGTTAGTATGGTAAATCACATCAATTCATTTTCCAAATGTTAAACCAATCATGCATTCCCAGAACCCTCTCTAGGTTGTGATGAATGATCTTTTCTAGATATTTTGGATTCGATTAACTAAAATTTTGTTAAGAAGTTTGCATCATAGTCATGAGAGATACTTTTCTGTAGCTTTCTTTTCTTTACCTGTTTTTGGTATTAGGGCTTAGTATCAGGACTGGCTTCATAGAATGAGTAGAGGGAAGTATTCATTTGTCTTCAATTTGCAGAATTGGTACAATTGGCATTCTGGAAGAATTTGTAAAATCAATATTATTTCTTCCTCAAGGAAGAATTCATCAGTGAAGCCATCTGGTCCTGAGTGGTTTTTTGTTTTTGTTTTTGTTTTCCTGGTGGAAAGATTTTAAACTATGACTTTAATTTCTCTAATAGATATGAGACTACTCAGGTATTTATTTCTTCGTGAGACAGGTTATGTATTTCTTTTTGAGTGAAATTCACTAGTTTGCATCTTTTAAGAAATTTGACCAGCTCTTCGAAATTGTTGAATCTATTGGTATAGGTTGTTCATAATTGTACTAGGTTGAGTAGTGTCTCCCAACAATTCATGTCAACCAGCACCTCAGAATGTGACCTTATTTAGAAATAGGGTCTTTGCAGATATAATTAATCAAGACGAGGTAATACTGGATTAGGGTGGGCCCTACACCTAATATAGTTGGTGTCCTTATAAGAAGAGAGAAATATGGACACAGAGACATAAACCCACAGACAACAGAGGCAGAGATTGGAGTGAAGCAGCTGCAGGCCAAGTAATGCCATGAATTTCTAGCCCCTACCAGAAGACAGAAAAAGGCAAGGAAGGATTCTACCCAGAGTCTCAGAGGAAAAATGACTCGCTGACACCTTGATCTTGGACTTCTAGCTCCAGAAGTGTGAGAGAATAAATTTCTGTTGTTTAAGCTATACGTTTATGGTACTTAGTTACAGCAGCCCTAGGAAATTAATACAGTACTAGTCCCTTATTATCCTTTTAATAGTAGTAGAATCTGCAGGGATGTCACCTCTCTTACTCCTGATATTAGTAATTTGTGTCTTCTGTTTCTATTTTCCTGATCAGTCTGGCTTGAAATTGATCAACTTTATTGATCTTCTCAAAGAAACAGCTTTTGGTTTCATTGATTTGTCTCTTTTGCTTTGCTCTTCTATTTCATTGATTTCCACCCTAATGTGCATTGTTTTCTCTCTTCTACTATTGTATGCTTAATTTTCTCTTTTTTTCTCGTTTCTTAATGTAAGAATGGAGGTTACTGACTGGAGACCTTTGTTCTTTTCTAATGTTTTAGTTTAGGGCAATAAAATTCCTCTGAAGTATTATTTAGCAGCATCTCACAAATTTTGATATGTTATGTTTCCACTTTTATTCAGTTCAAATACTTTTCTAATTTCCCTTATGATTTCTTCTTTGACCTCCAGGGTTATTTAGAAATATGTTAGTTTTCAAATATTTGGAGATTTGCCAGTGATCTTTCAGTAATTGATTTATGTTTTAATTCCACTGTGACCAGAGAATACATTTTTTATAACAAATCCTTTTACATTTATTGAGACTTATTTTATGGCCCAGAATATGACTTATCTTGGTAAATGTTTTGTGTGCATTGAAAAGAATGTATATTCTGTTATTCTTGGATGGAGTGTTAGATGTCAATTAGGTCAAGTTGGTTGATAGTGTTTGCATAATCTATTCTATATCCTAACTGATTTTCTTTCTATTGTTTTATCAAAGATAAAAATGGGATAGTAAACTATCATTGTGAATTTCTCTATTTCTTCTTGTTGTTCCATCAATCTTTGATTTGTATGCTTTGAAGATCTTTTATTAGGTGCATATATATTTAGTATTGTTATATTCTCTTGATGAATTGATTCCTTTATCATTATGAAACAATCTTTCTATCCCTGATAATATTATTTCCTCTGAAATATACTTTGTGTTATATTAATGATATTGAGATAGGTACTCCATCTTTCCTTTAATCAGTGTTATCACAGTTTATCTCTTCTCATTCAGTTAACCTATTTGTGTATTATTATTTAATTGTATTTCATGTATGCAGCATATAGTTGGGCCAATATGACAATCTCTACCTTTTAATTGGGGTGTTTAAACCGTTTACACTACAGTTAATGTAATTATTTATATGGTTAACTTTAAATATATCATCTTACCTTTTATTTATTTGTCCTAACTGTCCTTTGTTCCTCTTCATTCTTTTCCTGCCTTCTTTGGGATTAATTGAATAATTTTGTTATTTATTTTAAGTTCCTTTTTGGCTTATTAACAATTACTCCCCCTCTCCCTGTCCCTCTCCCTCTCCCCCTCCCTCTCCCTCTCTCCCTCCCTCTCCCTCTCTGTCTCCCCACCATCTCCCTCTCCCTCTCTTTTCACGGTCTCCCTCTGATGCCGAGCCGAAGCTGGACTGTACTGCCACCATCTCGGCTCACTGCAACCTCCCTGCCTGATTCTCCTGCCTCAGCCTGCCGAGTGCCTGCGATTGCAGGCGCGCGCCGCCACGCCTGACTGGTTTTCGTATTTTTTGGTGGAGACGGGGTTTCGCTGTGTTGGCCGGGCTGGTCTCCAGCTCCTAACCGCGAGTGATCCGCCAGCCTCGGCCTCCCGAGGTGCCGGGATTGCAGATGGAGTCTCGTTCACTCAGTGCTCAATGGTGCCCAGGCTGGAGTGCAGTGGCGTGATCTCGGCTTGCTACAACCTCCACCTCCCAGCCGCCTGCCTTGGCCTCCCAAAGTGCCAAGATTGCAGCCTCTGCCCGGCCGCCACCCCCTCTGGGAAGTGAGGAGCGTCTCTGCCTGGCCGCCCATCGTCTGGGATGTGAGGAGCCCCTCTGCCCAGCCACCCAGTCTGGGAAGTGAGGAGCGCCTCTTCCCTGCCACCATCCCGTCTAGGAAGTGAGGAGCGTCTCTGCCCAGCCGCCCCATCTGAGAAGTGAGGAGCCCCTCCGTCCAGCAGCCGCCCCATCTGAGAAGTGAGGAGCCCCTCCGCCCGGCAGCCGCCCCGTCTGAGAAGTGAGGAGCCCCTCCGCCCGGCAGCCGCCCCTTCTGGGAAGTGAGGAGCCCCTCTGCCCGGCCACCACCCCGTCTGGGAGGTGTACCCAACAGCTCATTGAGAACGGGCCATGATGACGATGGCGGTTTTGTGGAATAGAGAAGGGGGAAAGGTGGGGAAAGGATAGAGAAATCAGATTGTTGCTGTGTCTGTGTGGCAAGAGGTAGACATGGGAGACTTCATTTTGTTCTGTACTAAGAAAAATTCTTCTGCCTTGGGATCCTGTTGATCTATAACCTTACCCCCAACCCTGTGCTCTCTGAAGCATGTGCTGTGTCCACTCAGGGTTAAATGGATTAAGGGCGGTGCAAGATGTGCTTTGTTAAACGGATGCTTGAAGGCAGCATGCTCCTTAAGAGTCATCACCACTCCCTAATCTCAAGTACCCAGGGACACAAACACTGCAGAAGGCCGCAGGGTCCTCTGCCTAGGAAAACCAGAGACCTTTGTTCACTTGTTTATCTGCTGACCTTCCCTCCACTATTGTCCTATGACCCTGCCAAATCCCCCTCTGCGAGAAACACTCAAGAATGATCAATAAAAAAAAAAAAAAAATAGAGGATAGAATTTCCCCTGATAGAAAACGGGGAAACACACATGAAAAGACAGTTAAAAGAAAAAGATAATTAAATGGCCTTCAAAGATAAAAAAAAAAAAAAAACAAAAAAAAAAAACAAAACAAAAAATTACTCTTTGGTCACTTTAGTGGTAGATTTAGAGTTCAAGGTATACATCTGTAACTTATTACAGCCTAACTTGAAGTGACCTTATTCACTTTACCTGTAGTATAAGAATGAGTGTACTTCTATTTTTCCCCTCCCAATCTCTATGCCATTGTTGTCATGCGTTTTACTTTGTCAAATGTTTTTAACTCTATGCTACATTGTGGTTAGTTTTGTTCAAACAATCAATTATCTTTTAAAAATTTCTGGCCGTGCACAGTGGCTCACGCCTGTAATCCCAGCACTTTGCGGGGCCAAGACGGGCGGATCATGAGGTCAGGAGATGGAGACCATTCTGGCTAACATGGTGAAACCACGTCTCTACTAAAAATACAATAAATTAGCCAGGCGAGGTGGCGGGCGCCTGTACTCTCAGCTACTCGGGAGGCTGAGGCAGGAGAATGGCGTGAACCCAGGAAGCAGAGCTTGCAGTGAGCCAAGATCGTGCCACTGCACTCCGGCCTGGGCGACAGAGCGAGACTCCGTCTCAAAAAAAAAAAAAAAAAAAAAAAATTCTAAATAAAATTTTTACAAGTTCTTACATAATTATTCCTACAATTACCACTTCCACTATTCTTCCTTTGTGTAGATCCTTATTTCCATCTGGCATTACTTCTTTCTGCCTGAATGACTCCTTTAATATTTTTTGTAGTGCACGTCTGCTGGTGATGAAATCTTTCACCTTTTGTATTTCTGAAAAAGTCCTTATTTTGCCTTCATTTTTGAAAGATACTTTTGCTTGGCCTAGAATTCTAGTTTGAAATTTTTTCTTTTAACACGTTGTTCCATTGTCTTTTTGTTTGTGCTTTTTCTGATGAGAAAACTGCTGTCATCCTTCTCTTTGTTCTTCTGTACATACCATCTGTCTTTCCTCTGACTACTTTTAGAACTTTCCTTTTATTACTAGTTTCTTGCAGTTCGATTAAGAGGCAACTTGGTGTCATTTTGCTTGTTTTATAAACTCTGAGATGTAGTTTGTTGAAAAATACAATAAAATTTGATTTGATTATTTTAAATATCTTTTATATCTCTACTTAACTTTGAACATGTGGGTTAGAATTATAATAACAGTTTTAATGTCCTTGCCTGCTATTTCTAAAATCCGTCAGTTCTGGATCAGTTTTGATTGATTTTTCTCTTTGTTGTGAATCATATTTTCTTGCTTCTGTGCATATCTGATTATCTTTTACTGGATGATAGACATCGTAAATTTTACCTTATTGGGTGCTGGATAAATTTGGATTTCTAGAAATATTTCTAAGATGAGTTCTGGAATACAGGTAAGTTACTTGGAAACAGTAGGATCCTTTCAGGTCTTGCTTTTAATATTTGTTAGGCAGGACTGGAGTGGTGCTCAGTGTAGGCCTATTTTCTCCACAAAAAGGGCAAGACTGCATTCTCTATCTGATGCCCTGTGAATCATGAGGTTTCCAGTTTGATGTGTGGGAATAAACACTGTTCCCTACCCCATGTGAGCATGGGCACTGCGCTCCCTAGTCTTCTCAGGTGTTTTTCCCTTGCATGATCAGTGCTCTGCTGAATACTTGTGGGGCAGCCTCTGCAGGACTCCAGAGCTCTCCCTCCGTGTGGCTCTCTCTCCTCTTTGGTACTCTGTCCTGTAACTCTGGCCACTGTGGGCTCCTACTCTCAACTTCTGCTCCTCGATTCAGGAAATCCACCAGGCTCTGCTTGGGTTCTACCTTCACGTGCCACACCCTATCAACCTCTCCAGGCTGTAAGCTGGGGCAATTGTAGGGTTTCCCTCAATTGTTTCCTGTCTCTCAGGGATGACTGCCCTTTGGTGCCTGATGGCGATTGGTATATATATTCCACTTTTGGAAGGGTAAACCTGGTCTCTGTTAATCCATTTTAGTGAGGAACAGAAATCATTGTTTTACTTTTTATCTTCACTTTATAGATAACGAATCCAAGACTTAGAGAGACTAAGTAACTTCCGCAGGATAATTCAACTTATAATAAGCAGACTCGTGAACCCATGTGGGCAGTTCCGTGCCAGAGACATACGTTTAAGAATCACTAAGTTCTGCTGCTTCTGTGGTCCATGAAATCTGCATACATAAGCCTATCCCAAAGTTGCAATAACATTTTAAGATTGGCATCGTTATTCATTTGTTCGTTTCACAAATATTTGTTGACGGCTTCCTGTATGCCAAACTATCTTTGGTGCTGGGAATACATCTGTAAACAAAGTTGACTACAGCAAAGTTGACTAACGTCCGCTGCCTTCTTACAGCTGATGTTACAGTGGGAGGAAAGAGCATACACCAGGCAAACAAGTAAATAATAGAGCATATAAGACAGAAGTGGTGTAAAGGCAAAAGGCAAATAGGGTAGAGAGTGAGTGCATGTGTGTATTTGTAGTGGAACAGGGTGACAATTGAGATGGGAAGCTCAGGGAACGCTTTACTAAAAAGGTAACATTTATATAAAGACATGATGAAGCTTAGGAAATGAAACATGGAGGAAAGAGTTGTCAAGTGTTTTATAGTAGAAACAGTAATATAGTACCATGAATGAACACTTTCTATGGTCCAGACCTTTGATAAGGGCTTTATGTATATTATTTTCACAAAAAACAAATAAAGTTATGTTTTTTTCTAAAATGGAAATATATTTATTGGATTTCTTAATTATAAAAATAACACATGCTGGCTATAGAACAAAAATAAAGCAATACAGAAATACATATAAATACAAGGTAAAAATGCTCCTGTAATTAGTCTCTTCTCTCCATCCTCACATGTAACCATAGATAGCCTCATTAACCACTGGGTGCATCCTTCTATGAGTTTGTAATGTATATTTACACATATACATAGAAAATGAAATTCTGATGTACTTGTTGTCATAAAACCTAGTTCTCTTCCCATTTCACAGATATATCATGGACAGCTTTCCATGCCAATACAATCATCTCTTGGTACCTGTGGGGAATTGGTTCCAGGACTCCCCATACATACCAAAATCCACGGATTAAGTCCCTTATATAAAATGGTATAGTATTTGCATATAACCTACACATACCCTCCCATTTACTTTAAATCATATCTAGATGACTTATAATACCTAATACAATCTAAATGGTATGTAAATAGTCGTTATATTGTATTGTTTTCATACTTGTAATATTTTATTTTTGTATTGTTTTTTAAAAATATTTTTGAGCTATGTTAATTGAATCCACAAATTTGGAACCCATAAATATGAATGGTGGACAGTGTATAAAGTGTATCTTTTTTAATGCTGCTTCTGAATGTACTATATTTCATTCAATCTTTTTGATACAGATTTAGGTTATTAACAATATTTTGCCATTATACAAAATGCTACTTGGAACATCCTTGTATACTCTTCTGATTGTGCCGGATATTTTTTGTTTGCCTTTCCAGATCTAGAAAACAAAAATGGAGCCAAGAAGAATTAGGTAACTTATTTGAAATTCTCCTTACCACCACAGAAAATAGAGTTCATTATAGGCTGTGTCAATATGTATAATTGGATTGTCTGTAACCCCAATTAACTTTGTCATATAACCAAAAGGTCAATTCAATTAAACCACCAGTGTGCGTTTTTGACTAAACGGATAGTCAGGCATGGCCACGTGTATACACGTGTATACAAAGTCCTCATCTGGTTTTTCAATGTCACCAGATCTTGGGGGTCTGAGTCAGAACTTACATCTGAATTTCTGTAATGTCAGATATATTCTGAGGTAAAAGGATGGGCTGGAAAGCCTCACTTGGGGGTTGGCATCAACACACTGACATCTCAGGGTGGGATTTGGGGATCTTGGCATAAGGTGCCAAAGCATCTTCATCATTATGTGAAGTGAAATAAGCAAGACAAAGAAAGAAAAATATTGTGCATTCTCACCCATATTTAGGAGCTAAAAATGTTGATCACATAGAGGTAGAAAGTGGCATGATAGATACCAGAGGCTGGGAAGGTTATAGGGGTGAGAGGGAGAGGATGAAGACAGGTTTGATTAATAGATATGAATATACAGTTGGGAGGAATGTTCTAATGTTTGATAGCAGAGTGGGGTGACTAGAGTTAACAACAACATATTGCAGTTTTCAAAATTGCTGGAAGAGAAGGTTTGAAATATAACCCAACACAGAGAAATGATAAATACTCAGGCGATAGATACCCTAAATGCTCTGACTGGACCATTACACATTCTATGCATGTAATTTCACATTACACATGCACCCCATAAATATGTACAAATACAATGTATCAAAAAATTTTAAAAGAAGGATATCTTTAGTCTCTGGGGTCTGGACAAAACACAATAATAGAATAATAGGATGAGAGGCTAATAGAAGAAGAGTAGACTATTAGAAGGATAGTAAAGATATCCCAAATTTGGAGTTATCGAGCCTCAACACCACGTGGGTGACCCCAACAGTTGGGGCATGTTGTGTGCCAAGGCCAAGTCTTTTCACTGTACTCCTGCCTCTCAGGGAAGGACTACAGGCATGTTCCTCTTGCTGTATCTTTATTTCTACTCTAGTATCCTGGAAGTTAAATGATAAATAAATACTAACACATACATCACTCAAAAACTGGTTTTAAACATAGATGAATCTAGCTCCAGATTGATGAAAAATCAAAATTAAACAGGAAAACAGCTCCAAATATTTCACTGGGTCTAAAGGATCATAGTTTTGCTAACTCATTCAATTTTTATTTCTAAACAAAACATTTACTTTACAAATAGAGTTGAATATGTGTGCAGTGATTCACATGTAAGGTAATTCATTGAAGCAGAATAGTAAGATTGAAATGGGGCTCAGAAACTATTACCCCCACGTATGGCTGACATGAAGAAGCAGCCACAAGGTCTCTCTGGCATGCACCACCTCCTGCTTCTCAATCCTCTGTCTCTCTCAAAGCATAAGATGAAGATGTTCCCTGAAAGTCTCTTTGTGCCTGAAGTCCAGACCTGTCCCTCCTCTGAGTTTTCATAAGCTCTGGTTCCTCCTCTGAGTTTTCATAAGCTGGACTCACATTGCAGGAAGAAAGGCTGCAGTCTGTCAGCATACCAGCACAGACTTGTCACAAACTATCATCTGCTCTGTGGGCCCAGCAGACTGTGTCCCAGGCCACTGTATGATTTTAAAGCCCATTGAATTCCCCTAAAAGTCATTTACTAGCCGCCTAAAATCATCCACACTTCCCCATCTCCCTTTCCTCTAAGAAGAAGGGTATATAAGCATCTGTACCCCAGTGCATAAGTAAAGTCATCACTTTGTGATTCAGACCCTACCCCTGTGCATGTTAATAACTTTATATGCCTTTTCTCCTAAAAAAGAAAAAAAGAAAAAAAAGCACCGCAGTCAGCCAGGCATGGTAGTTCATGCCTATAATCCCAGCACTTTGGGAGTCTGAGGTGGGTGGATCACGAGGTCGGGAGTTCGAGACCAGCCTGGACAACATGATGAAATCCCATCTCTACTAAAAATACAAAAATTAGGTGGGCATGGTGGTGGATGCCTGTAATCCCAGCTATTCAAAAGGCTGAGGCAGGAGAATTGCTTGAACCCAGGAGGCAGAGGTTGCAGTGAGCTGAGATCATGCCACTGCACTCCAGCCTGGGCAACAGAGTAAGACACCGTAAAAAAAAAAAAAAAAAAAAAAATGCGTCGCAGCCAGCATACATCCAGAGCTCCTGGTACCGATCTTTCCTTTCTTAGCTTGCTGTTCTTTACATTTTCCTTTGCTTTTCCCTACAAATGAAATCTTCACGCTCCTCCTTTCTTCCCTGGAAAGCCCAGAGTATTTCTCATGAGCTCCACTCATGAGTTCATAATGGTCTTGTCTGTCTCTTGAAACTCAGTGACTACAGCAGTCAGGACTATGTATGTGGTTTTTTTTACAAACTTAGGTTACACCAGCTCAAGTTACTGGCAAATCCAGAATGTGTATCTGGCTTGGAAAAGCTTAATCCAGAGGCCCAAATAGTCTTTCTTTCTCCTCTCTCTTTCTCTCTCTCCACACCCCACCCTCCCCACCCTCTATGTGTGTGTGTCTCTATTCCTAGTCTTTCTCTCTCTGTGTGTGTGTGTGTGTGTGTGTGATTCTAGTCTTTCTCTCTTCCTCGCTGTCTTGTTCTCTCATGCTCTTGCTCTTGAAAGCTGTCTCCCGGCAGCTCCAGGTCGACATTATTACTGCTTGGGACTCAAAAGGATGTGAGACCTTGCCCTTCTGAAACCTCAGGGAAGACTCTGAAGGCGGCTGCCCGGATCCTGTGGCCTTCCCTCAAGGGGAAGGGAGGGGGCAGACAAACAGCATGCGAGTATAAACCCCCGCAGTGACTCTACACTTGTGGAGGATGTGAGGCAAACACCTGCGTAGTTCATCTCCTTCCCCTAGACCTTCAGTGCCTGGTATATAGTTGGAGCCCAGTAAGATGTTTTCAAATTGAGTTAAATGGAGGTATTAATTAAATCCAACTATGCTGGATTTCTTGAATACTCATCGTAACCCCCGTAGCTAGGTTAAGCATGTCTTCCAGCAAAGCTGGCAGCTCTCTTTTCATGTGTTTTATTCCTCTGGGTTTCTAGACTGTGGTGGTACTTGGCGGTGAGTGGTTTGGGGATGGTAGTGGCACTTACGGCAGTTCTGTGACAATAGAGGAGTGTGGAAGGCCTCTGGACTGTCTGCTTGGGCATGCATTTGCTTTCTTGCTATCCAATATGGTGAAGGTTCAGACATCCTCCCAGTACCATCTTTCGATGTTGAACTAACCCAGGAGGCCATAGAGCATTTGTCTGAAAGTTATGATGGTCTTGTCTCTGTTTTCTTCTGCTCTTTATTTTTTTGCCTCTTCTTCTGAGGGTTTGGCATGGGAGCACCCGTGGTCTCCTAACCAAGGATTAGATTCACAGATATTTCCCCAACAATCTGAGATGCTAATCCTTATAACCCAGCCTTGTGTCTGTCACCTGCATTGCCACTCAGTTCCTCCTGAGTGTAAGGGCTGCTAGGATCCAAAGGTCAGAGATATATATTGCCTTCCCCAAGAGTTTGCTTTTTCTTCCAGAAAAAGGAAAGAAGGAAATTGTTGGTTTGTAAGAACCACAAAGGACACTGGAAGCATTTGGATAAACCTGTTTTTCTGTGAGCTCAGGGGTGGCAATATAATTAATCTGTCAAACAAGATTATTAATTTATCAAAAGCTGTGAATTCCACTTGAGACAAATTATTAGCCAAGAACATCATAGATGTTATCCTTTATGGCCAAACGTATGTAGTTTATCAAGCGCCAGTACTAAATCACATTTTGTTCTCTTGCCAAAAGATAAATCTATTTTTTGATATTGTTTAGAGCAGAAAACCATATATTGATTTAAAAATATATGTGAATAACCTAAGTCCCCAAACTCAGCTATAACATGACAAAGAATAAAAAGGAATAAATGGAAGTTGGCAAGGACAAGGGAAGCAAAAACTCCAGGAAAAACTGCTAACAACCAAAAAGGGAGCATGAGATGAAGGCATTCCAACAGGCTTGCAAATGTCCTCATTTAGTCCTTATAATATAACATAGTATTGCCTTAATGAGTGGAAATGAAGAATCGATTATTCCTTTAACTTCCTACTGGAAAAGATTTAATGACTCATCTACTGTAGTGACCCTAAGACTAGGGAGGAAAGGGAGGGATACAGGGGCCATGAAAAACGTTTGGTGGAAGCCATGGCAAAAGAAATTTGTTCTGGGCCATGCGTGGTGGCTCACGCCTGTAATCCCAGCACTTTGGGAGGCCGAGGTGGGTGGATCACGAGGTCAGGAGTTCAAGACCAGCCTGGCCAACATGGTGAAACCCCGTCTCTACTAAAAACACAAAAATTAGCTAGGCGTGGTGGTGGGCACCTGTAATCCCAGCTACTTGGGAGGCTGAGGCAGGAGAATGGCTTGAACCCAGGAGGTGGAGGTTGCAGTGAGCTGAGATCATGCCACTGTACTCCAGCCTGGGTGACAGAGCAAGACTCCATCTCAAAAAAAAAAAAAAAAGAAAAAAGAAAAAAAAGAAATTTATTCTGGTGAATGCTCAGTGGCGTCTAATTCATTTACCAGGCGGGCCTTCCCAGTGCTATTAAGAGTGCCCAGGCACCATTCTCCCTGGGAAGAGTTAATGAAGGTCATATTCTCCTGTTTCGTCACTTCAGTAGCTGGAAGGGCTTTGCTGCTGTGAACTCAATGATCCTTATAGAGTCGAATCCTGACAATACTCAGAAGTTGAACGAGATTATAAACAACTTCCAGATCAAAGCACACATTTTCAGACTTGGTTGCATTTATTCCTCATGAACACCAAAATTAAATCTTCATTATATTCTCTTCTTTTCTATCCTCTTCTCCAGCCTGTTTTCTCATTACCGGCCCTCCCAGCTCTTCACAGGACACATCCCCAACTGTTTCGAGGCCCATATCCTGATGGGGTCCTTCTATTGTCCTTTTCTTTGGGAAACAGTATTTCACCTGGCCATGTTCTCTACTGTTCATCACTTTTGCCAATTTGCACCAAATGTTTTCTCTCTTGGTGCCCAACAGCCTGTGCGCTGCTGTGTCTTCTCCTGACCACACCTGATAGCGGGCAGATGCCCCGTGCCATTCCAGACTGCTTTTCACCAGCGTGCTGTGATATAAAATGCTCCACGTGCTCTTTCTGCTTTGGCTCTAATTCACTCATTTGTTACAATCTCTTGAAAATCTTTTTACTCCATTAACCTTTTAGCCAGTGTTATCAGTCTTTTCACATGGAAGGCAGCGTGACTTACAGTTTAGAAGCAAAGACTCTGAAGCCAGACAGCTCTATTCATAGTCTGACTTACTAGCTGAGTGACCGTGGGCAAATCATTTCATCTCCCTGTGCTTCATTTTCCTCTTCTGTAAAATGGGGGCAAAAATAATGGCTCCTTAAGAGTGAAGACTGACTTTGTGTGTGAAATGTGAAGCTTGAGTTTGTGTGTGAAATGTGCTTAGACTATGGCCAGACATAGGGTTAGTAGTATTTAAGTATATGATAAATAAAATCAAAGAACGTCTCTCCTTCAAAAATAACTTCAAAAAATTTTTACAGGTAAGTTATGTCCATGGTGCGGAAGTCACAAAAGGTGAATAAGCAAAAAGGATTAAAAACAGGTCACAATTCCAAGGTCCCTGAGGAGCCTTGGAGCTGACTTGGGGCTTGAACTTGGCATTGCTGATTCAGTGCACTTGGCACAGCATCCTGCGAACTGCACTGATGGAAGAATTAGCCCATTAGGACAGTGGCTTCTGCCCCGGGGCTCCAGGTTACTTTGATGCCCAGGGAGTTACACAACTCACGCCAGGCCTCACCTACCTTTGGAAAATGTGTATCTCAAACGTGTTCTCTACCAGTCTTTTCTCCCAGGCGAGGGTAGGCAGAGACCAGGCGAGGTGCCGCAAAGCATCATTTCCCCAGCTGAGAAATGACAGGCACATTCTCCTCTTCCATCAGTCCTACCTTTCTACTACATTTTTGTATAGAATGTTCTTCATTGTCAGCATTAGGTCTGTTTGGCCTTCATTCTCTACTATTTCCTTTTCTTTCTTCTGTTTTCTTTAAAAATTCCTAACACAGACTTTTATGCATTTAATTTACATTTTTTAGTAGCTAGCACTGTGGGGTTTTTTTATATGCTTCCCATTATGATATTGACTGGCATCTTTATTAAACAATGCAGAACAGCAGACTTTAAAAAAGGAGAGCAGGGTGTGGGGGCGGGGGAGACACAGGAACCAAAGAGAGTTTGTGAAACAACCCAGGCTGTTGGTAAAGGAAGAAAAGAGACTTGTCCTAGGAAGAAGCTGAGTGTAGCAGAGAGAGGCAGTCTGAGGAGTTTCAGTCTGGTGGGATGGGCTGGGTTGGGGGGCACAGAAGCTGTGTGGTTACGATGGTAAGAGTGAGGAAGGGCATTTTCTGGGAATGGAGTGTGTACTGTCTGTCTGCCGCATGACCCTGTACTGTGGAAATTATAACTCCAGACTTGCAAGAAATAACCCAAGCCCAGGGCACAGGTAGATAGAATGACCTTGACTTTGGCTTCTTGGTATCCAGAGATAATTCTGTGCTGCTATCCAAAAGGGTAAGCACAGCATTTAGGCAGTGAGGGACAAGGACCTTGCTGGCTGCAGCACCCAGGGGTGGGTGGAGAGGCAGCAGTAGCAGCTGGCTGGGGTGAGGTTGGCAGAGGAGGAAGCACCTACCCATGGAGCAACACCCATCCCAGGCCTGTGGGCCCTGGGCCTGTGAGATTTTGCAACTCCACCACCTCAGTGATCCTGGAGAACTAAATGTGTGGATGAGGGTCTGCCTGTAATTGTTTTATTTTTCTTTTCTTTTTGGTAGGCAGGTGATCCAGGGAATGCACTTTGTCGTCATCGGGCTTCACTTGTCTTACAGTCTGCAGGGCCACCTGACCTGTAGAAAGAGGACCTCAGATTTGAGAACAATGGAAGGGTGCCTTCGCCTCCCCCAAACATGCCTACTGATTGAGTTTCTCAAGGGCAGAGGCCTTGTCTCATGTTTCTCAGCACCCTCAGCATCTGGAACGTAGGAAAGTGATGAATGAGTGAATGAATGAGGAATATATTGAATTCACACACTCAGAAAGTTGAAAAAATTGCATAAAGCTGTATATTCTATAATACAAAATTGTATGAATGAGTTGATACCTGAAACGTTCTGTAAAGCAATTTGTTCATGGGGAGAGAGGGTAAGAATTGGTATAGAGCTCAGGACACCAGAGACTGAGGAGAGAAAATGCAGAAGAAGCCATGGTGGTATGTCCCTTTGATCCCAACTACATGGGGAGGCTTGCTTGAGCCTAGAAGTTCAAGACCAGCCTGGGCAACATACAAGACCCTTTCTCAAAAAAGAAATTTTAAAATGCAGAAGAGACATATGGATACATGACCATATAATTTATATAATTTACAGTTAAATCAATACAATTTTGAGAGTAAATTAAAATGATTAAAATTATTGATTTACTGACTGAAAATTAGTTTCTTATATTGTTGGATCTATAGGGTAGTTCTATATTAAAAATTATTTTACAAGAAAATCTTCCTAGAAATTAAAAATAGCAGCCAGGAGCGGTGGCTTACACCTGTAATCCCAGCACTTTGGGAGGCTGAGGTGGGTGGATCATGAGGTCAGGAGATGGAGATCATCCTGGCCAATATGGTGAAACTCTGTCTCTACTAAAAAGAAACACAAAACTTAGCTGGGCATGGTGGCGCGTGCCTGTAATCCCAGCTACTCAGGAGGCTGAGGCAGGAGAATCGCTTAAACCAGGGAGTCAGAGGCCGCAGTGAGCTGAGATCGTGCCACAGCACTCCAGCCTGGTGACAGAGCGAGACTCCGTCTCAAAAATAAATAAATAAATAAATAAATAAATAAATAAATAAATAAATATAAAAACAGCATATATTCATGTACATTGAAGCAAATTCAAGAATAACTTCTTTATACTGATTTGAACGCTAAAGATAATACAAGCAAAAGAATTATTCGTGACACATATTCACACACTTTAATTGGTATTGTTGGTTATGATTATTAACCATATCTGCATCTAATACTTTGTTACGGTTACTTTTCTAAAAGATTTTTTTGAGTTTTCTTCTGTGTGCTCTTACTATTTTAAATTTCTTTCACAAAATTGTCTGTGATTTTCAAAGTTGCATATGAAGGTTAATTAATTTGAAGTTATTGACATCTTTAATTGACACTTTGCTGTAGACCATGAAGTTTTTAATTAAGAAAGTACTCTCCCTACAGGTGCTGAGGTACCTGGTAAGCTCTACATTCTGCTAAAGAAAGGATATCCTCACTAGCAATCATTTTTGCCTTGAATATGTAAATGTTTCAAACTCAACATTCACACAGGTGCTGTCTTTCTACCTCTATTCAGAGTGCCTTTCTTTGACAAAATTTTTACAAGACCAAATTTGTCAAGTACGTTATCCCGTCATAATTTTTAAATGTTTAGCGAAAATTTACGTGCTATAAAAATTATAGCCTTTCTCAATTTCATTTCATTCCAGTAAAATAAAATTTATCGAGTTGAAAATAAGAACTTCATCAAAATACTTAAAATATTCCAAAGCTTAATTATAGAATTTAAAAACTAAATCTTGTACACTGTTCTTTTAATTCATTTATGGCTTCCCTCATTTTCGTAGGTAAATTTATTATCTGCTTATTTGCAAATCTTATTTTGAATGAATACAATTCTCTGGACGTGTAAAAAGTTCTAACACATTTTTTGATGCTCTATGCATTGATTCCTGGGAGTAAAGATTTCCAATTGATTTGGGGGAAGAAAGCACCCCAAATTTAGAGGACTTATTTACAAATGACTTCACCCACTACCATTTTTAAACACTTAGGTTAATTTACAAATTAATTTATCAAAGGTTTATGTATTTCTAATATCTGATTAATATTGGCCAATAATGTTCAGACTTCCCTGATGAAGGAATTTTGTTATCCATATCAGCTTTCTACATTAAATTTTGTGGTTCAATTACTCTATACTGTATACTCTTTTTAAAAAAATTTTTATGACTATCACTTCTATTTCGTTGACAGGCATCATAGACTTTTTGGATACATATAATCAAAAAATATGTGTGAACCAAAACAAGTGCCAAATATGATTTCTACCAGTTTCTTTATTGGTAACATAATTGTCTCTAAAACAATGCTGTGCTTCATAAAAACATGTATCTCTCTTATCACTTCAAAAACAAATCCATTTATTTATGTATTTATTTATTTTATTTTATTTTATTTTTCGAGACAGAGTCTCGCTCTTTCACCCAGGCCGGACTGCAGTGGCTCGATCCCGGCTCACTGCAAGCTCCGCCTCTTGGGTTCACGCCATTCTCCTGCCTCAGCCTCCCGAGGAGCTGGGACTACAGGCGCCCGCCACCACGCCCGGCTAATTTTTTTGTATTGTTAGTAGAGACGGGGTTTCAACGTGTTAGCCAGGATGGTCTCGATCTCCTGACCTCGTGATCCACCCGCCTCGGCCTCCCAAAGTGCTGGGATTACAGGCCTGAGCCACCGCGCCCGGCCAAATCCCTTTATTTTTAATATTGAGGCTTTATACTGAATTTACAATAGCATTTGCAATAATGTCAAGTGTTTCATCGACAGAGTGAACTTCCAGAAGCTATACTTTGAAAGTGTATGAAAAATTACGTCGTTGCCGCTGGGCGCCGTGGCTCACGCCTGTAATCCCAGCACTTTGAGAGGCCGAAATGGGTGGATCACCTGAGGTCCGCAGTTTGAGACTAGCCTGACCAATATTGTGAAACCCCATCTCTACTAAAAAATACAAAAATTTTCTGGGCGAGGTGGCGGGCGTCTGTAGTCCCAGCTACTCGGGAGGCTGAGGCAGGAGAATCGCTTGAACCCGGGAGGCAGAGGTTGCAGTGAGCCAAGTTTGTACTACTGTACTCCAGCCTGGGTGCCAGAGCGAGACTCTGTCTCAGAAAAAAAAAAAAAAAAAAAAAAATGAAAAAAGAAAAATTACATCATTGTTGTAATTATTTTCTGTTTGGAGAATCTGATGACACCATTATAACGCTGGTATTATTATCGGTTTGCAAAATTTCTCTTCTGCCAGAACAACACAAATCACTATCATTTTACTATTCAAATATGATCAAGAAAACGTGGAATTGTAAGTAAAATTAATTTAGAACACCAGTTATTTGATCTAAATAAAAGTCTTTCTTCATAAAGTAATATGTAACCAAACCTTTTGCTCCTGCCTTTATTAGATTGTCATTTTTGAAACACAATTTTCTTCAAGTAACCTTAAAGGAACTAAAATAACTATGAACTCTTTTTTTTTTTTTTTTTGAGACAGAGTCCCGCTGTTTCACCCAGGCTGGAGTGCAGTGGCGCAATCTTGGCTCACTGCAACCTTCGCTTCCTGGGTTCAAGTGATTCTCCTGCCTCAGCCTCCCAAGTAACTGGGACTACAGGCCTGCACCACCATGCCCGGCTAATTTTTTTGTATTTTCAGTAGAGACAGGGTTTCACCATGTTGGACAGGCTGGTCTCAAACTCCTGACCTCAGGCGATCCACCTGCCTTGGCCTCCCAAAGTGCTGGGATTATAGGAGTGAGCCACCGCGCCCGGCCTAACTTTTGAAATAGATGCTGATGCCTTTTCACCTGACTTAGATCTTCTTGGTTCCATGCGGTCAGTGATACAGCCCTTATGGTTGATGTTAAATGTTGACAAGCATTTTGTATAACTTACATATTGATCATCAACTGTCTTGAGAAATGGAAATTTATTACTTAATTTTTTGATTAAACATATACTTCCTATTGTTTTAGCTCATTTCTGATTAAAGTGTCATTGTAACATTAAAATGCACCACCAAATAATAAAATGAAGAGTTCTAAACTTACTCCATGCAATAACAACAAAACCACAGTGGCAAGAGCATTCAGACTATGATGTTTTGCTTTACTAAAGGCCTGTTCAGTCTCTATTTCCTACATATAGATCATATGTGTTTAATCTATAATTTTCCACATTCCCATTGACTCCGTTGGCTGGAACCTGGCAGCTTTACACCCTGCACAGGCCACAGCATGGGGAAAAGCCCACTTGGTTGATGACCAAGTAATCAACTAGGATTGCAATATCAAATACTTCTGCCATCACTGTTAGAGACCAAAAGAAGTTAGCTGTCTCTACCTCATTGGTACAGAGCACATTTTTTCCCCACCAAAAGCTCCTTGCATATTGTCTTTAAAAGGAAGGAGTTTATTGAATCATATCTGGAAAGGTTCAAAAAAATAGATGGCTTGTAGTTATTCTTATTTCAGATTTGACCTAGTAGAGTGAAAATTCTGATAATTTCACATCAATCTCTCATATTATCAATGTTCATGGCGGCTGACATATGGAGACCTTCTAAATCATCCTGGCTCATTTTAATGTAATTATTTATAAAAATACTTTATTGAATATAAACATATGCTAAATAGAGTGATACACAATGTCAATAGGCATAAGCCATGGCTATTCTGGGAAAACCAGGACATAAGAGTCACAGAAAACATAGAGGACAGAGAAAATCATAATAGATTTTCAAAAGTAGAATAGACAGGAAATAGTGCAAAAGCAGTATTTGAAAAAATTAATGACATTAATGACTGATTAAAGACAAAAAGTCACTATTTTAAGAAGCCTATAGAACACCAAACAGGATAAATGAAAAAAACCCTATAAATAGAAATTGAAAAGAGAATTGAAAATCAGAGGGAAAAAAGTACATGTTAAAAGCAGCCGGAAGTGCAAAAAAATATATATTGCCTTCAGAAGGGCACCAATAATGCTTATAGCTGATTTCCCAATGAAACAATGAGGTCCAGAAGACATTGTGATATCTTTTAAAATGCAGAAAAAAATAAATTGACTATTTAGAATTGTGTACCCAGAGAAAGTATCCTTCAAGAATGAAGCTAAATTAAAAGCATTTTCAGACAAACAATGTCCCGGAATTCATCACCAGCCCTGCACCAAAGGAATTGTTCAGTGGCATTCTGTAAGACAAAAGAAAGTGATCCCAGGCAGAAGGCCAGAGATAATGGAAAAAAGAAGGAGAATAGTGAAAATCATAAGCATGTAGACAAATCTAAATGAATATTAATTGCATAAAATAGTAATGATAATAAAGATATTATTGGCATTTCAAATACATAGGAAAATAAAACATGGAAAGAGTAGCAAAGAACATGGAAACAGTAGCCAAGAAGTCAGGAAAGGAGAAGAGAAATTAAATTGTTTTAAATTAAAATTGTTCATTTAATAAAGTCAAATATTCATGGGTATTTTTGCAATGTCCACAAATAGGGTATAAGTGCCATTTAACTTTAAATTTTCATAAGTCAAGGATGCCTGCTATAATCTGTACATAATCACAGAAAGAATACTAATGGAGGGGAAAATTGAAATAACAAAAAAGAGAAGTACTCAATCAGACCACCTCTAGGTAGACAGAGCAATTAGCGGCAGGCCAATGTTCTTGCTGAGAATAAATCATATTTTTAAGAGAGCTTTGAAAGCAGGGAAGTCCAAAGCCACTGAAATTCCAGAAAGAGGAGAAACTTTCAGAAGTGAGCTAAAGATAAGCCACTGTCTTTTCTCTTTGGGGCACTGGTTGATTCTGTGCCTAAGCTAGAGGCTGCGAATCAGTGCTTTCCCTTGGCAAGGCCACTGAGGGTGGGCAAAGGGTGGGAGCAGGGAGGAGAAGAGAAACTGTAAGAGCTTTTGGAAATCCTGTGATCCTGGAGTGTAAACATTAGACACACTTAGTTTTTCCATCCAAAAATTTGCCAAATTCTGAATCTATCATGAAGGAAGAGGCTAAAAGAACTAAATCAAATATTCCTGAAAAGCAGAGAGAAAATTTCCGTAAATCTCTTGGTATTGACAGACACAGTCTGTTTGATTTCTTAGGTATCTGTAGTGAGGGCTCTTTTTCATTCCTGATATTAGTTATTTGTGCTTTTTCTCTTTTTTTGCCTTCATTAGTTTTTCCAGGAGTTTATCAGCTCAACCTCACTGGCAATCAATGAAATGCAACTGAAATGTACAATATTATACTACTAATCACCCTCTGGAATGACTAAAATTAAAGAGAGATAATACTAAATGTTCATGAGGATGTGGAACATTAGGCATCCCTATCTACTGTGTGTGGGAGTGTAAATTGTTACAACTTTGGAAAACAAATTGTCATTCCTATAGTAGTTGAATTCATGCATAGCCTCTGACCTGGCATTTCCACTCCCTAGTTATAAACCCACAGAAATGCATGCATAGGTACAGCAAGAGACTGCACAAAATGTTCATAATAGCATAATATTTATCATAGCCCCAAACTGGAAATAACCAAAATGTCCATCAACAGTAGGCTAGGTGAATAGCAATAGAATCGACAAGTAGTCATACCACAATCTCCATTCATACTCCAGCAGTGAAACAGAACAAACTGCAGCTAACATGCAACGACACGAAGAAATCTCATAAGCATAATGTTGAGCAAAAGAAGTCAGACACAGAAGAGTAAAAATGGATGATTCTATCACACAGTTTAACAAATAGGAAATTTTAAAATAGTGCTGAAAATCATGAGAGTGGTTAGCTCTGGAGGGGGATACAGTGTGATTCAGAAAGGGCATGAGGGTGCTGGGCTGCTATAGTGTTCTTTTTTTTGACCTGAATCAGGCTACATTGCTGCTTGCTTTGTGTGAGTTTATTGAGCTGCACAATTTCTGTTGTGTGTACCTTTCAGATTTTTTAAAGGCACTGGAGACAAGGGCAGAAACAACGTCTGCCATGGCCTGGATAGCCCCACCATTGGCAGGGCTCCAACAAGAACCACACAACTCCAGGGCCCTGAATAAAGGCTAAGAGAAGCTCCTTCTAACAACCAGCTGCCCATGAGTACTTACTCCATTTTATCTGTATTTTTTTTTGTCAGATTACAAAATAACAAAAGCCCATTGTAGAAAAATAGAACTGTCCAATAAAATTTGAAAAAGCAGAAAAAAATCCTAGCACCCTCATCAATCAGAGGCCACTGCTGCCCACATTTTGATTATTTCCTTTTCGATTTTTTTCTTTGCTTTTTTCCATACTTGTCATTGTATAATAAGGAGTTTAAAAAAATCATCCTTCTTAAATCACAATATCTCCTAGGAAGTTCACATTTTTTTAGTGTGAAATTTTTGTGAGTATCCTTTTGGAGGACCCACAGTATTTTATACAGTGGTTGACTGTAATTATTATTCCCTTATTTGAACTTTAGGTTGCTGATAATTTTCTTATTTAATAAGTGATTTTTGGGTGAAAATCTTGTACAAAATTATTGGTTTATATTTGGATTGTTTTCCTAGGTTAGTAGGAAAATGGCTGAAATGAACAATGTGTACATTTTTGAGACTCTTAATAAATATTTTCATCTTTTCTGAAAGGTTGGAACAACAACTTATATTCCCATGGACTCCCGCTACCATTTCTACCCACTTCCATCTGGAAACCACAGTGGTGAACAGAGAAGAGTTTTTAACGGAAGAAAGGTCAGAAATGTATCTTGTCAGGAAAGGAAAGTAAGAGCCTTTCAAATAGGTTATGTGGCCCCAGGTGCAAGCAGACTCAGGTAGCTATGGTTTAGCCTCTATCAGAGGTGAGGCATCTTATCTCTGTGACCTGTTGGTATTCTCCTTTAGTTCCTCAATTACCATCTTTAAAAGACCTGAAAATCTGAGCACTCGTAAGACCCTCCCAACACCCTCCCCACTCCATGCTCTCCCATTCCACACACATCCATAGTCACGCATGTTCATGCATGTACACACACACAGGGAAAAAACTATTCACCACAACCATTTTTACTCATATTTATAAACAATCCTGTCCACTCCTGCACCATTTCATGCATCTTTGCCATTTTATTACTGTGGCCTTATTAAATTTTTATTTTGGTATTCGTATCATGTATTTTTATTATACTATAGCCATGGCACCTTGGGGGAGGGGATATGGCACTATAAGGAAAGATTCATTTATCACTGTGGCTAATAAAGTTGTCATTCTCTTAGTTCTCTTCATATTTTTCTTTTTACCTGGGAGCCAAAGCACACAGCAAATGAAGTCTGACATCTATGAAGCTTTCCACACACGTACCTTAAAGTATGAGCTGTGAAATTCCACTAAAGCAAAATAAAGTATAAGGTAAAGGAGTCCTCAGATTACACCATGTGAGCCAATTCAATCGCTGACCACTGACTGGAACCTGGGCAGGGCCCCTTTTGTCTACTTTCCACTTGGCAGTATGTTTAGGTCTCCTCTTCACTCCTTCCCTTAGAAAGAGCCCCAGAAAATTTCCTCTATCTGGGCACCTTTCACCTTTGTCTCATTTCAATTCAGCAATCAATGTATGAACCCTCCCAAGTGCTGAGTGCTAAGGTAGGTAGTAGGTTTCTAAAGGTGAGTAAACCTGGCTCCTTCTCTGAAGAGTCTCAGAATCTAGGCAGGAGACAGGTAGGGGCATAATTCCCCATGGCCAACGCAGACCACCATCAGTGGTGAAGGATTATGCCAACAGAGTGAGAAGGGAGTGTTTTTTTCTCTGTTTAATCATGTATCCCAGAAACTGCTATAACCCTAAAATTGAGACTCCTAACAGCTCAGAAATATGTATCACCCTATAATTAAGAAGACCAATCTCCTCTCTGCCACTACTTATATGACCTCATAATACATTTTAACATATTTCTTGTATTCTTATGGACAATTTTCTATATTTTTCTTAAAAGAGGGAGAAATGTCAGCCAGGCACGGTGGCTCACACCTGTAATCCCAATACTTCAGGAGGCCAAGGCAGGAAGATCACGAGGTCAAAAGATCAAGACCATCCTGGCCAACACAGTGAAACCCCATCTCTGCTAAAAACACAAAAATTAGCTGGGCGTGGTGGCATGCGCATGTAGTCACAGTTGAGGCAGGAGAATCACTTGAACCTGGGAGGCAGAAGTTGCAGTGAGCCGAGATCACACCACTGTACTCCAGCCTGGCGACAGGGCAAGACTCCATCTCAAGAAAAAGAAAAAAAAAAAAGAAGGAGAAAGTTCTACTTATATGACCTTATAATCTATTTTGAAATATAATTTCTCACACTCTTATGGACAACCTCCTATATATTTATTCAAAGAAGGAGAAATTGATAATTAAAAGAGGATTGCATGGGCATTGTTCTTCCTCGATTTTCATTCTCAATGAATGTTGATCATCAATCTTCAGAAGACAACTAAGGCAGCTTTTGGACTCTCACATGGGGAGGATGGTGTGAAAATGACATGCACAGTAACACCATGGACTTACATGGGTCACTTTTAGAGGGAGAAAAATTGAAACAAAAAGTCCAGAGCACACAGATGTGTGTGAAAAGATGACATGCTTTGCAGAGAGGACAGCTCTTTTTTTCAGACTTTCCACAAAATATTGCAGAGATGGGTACTTCACTTCTAGAAATCAGAAACTGACTTACTAGTAGAAGCCTAATCCTCAAAACCATCTCTGAGAGGTGGGACTGTGTTTTCCACTTCTTTCTCTGAATACTTTGAAGAGGTTAATTACCAACTAATTAACTTGTGCATCCATTTGGTAAATGCTTGCCATGGTCAGGCACTTGAGTAGCTCTGGAGATATCAACAAAACCCATCTTTATGGAACCTATATTCTGGTGGAAAAGACAGTCAACCAAAAAGGGGGGCATACTGGAAAATAACTGGGACCACTATAGGGGAGCTGCCATAGACATGGCCATGAGACATAAGCTTTCTGCAGGCTGTCTACATACAAAGGTGAAAACTGAAAAGATATTGGGGAAACTGGGTGACTTCTCCAGTTCTGTTTTGCTACTTGTATTAGTTTGATCAGGTTGCCATAATAAAGTACTAGTGACAGAATGGCTTTAAAAGCAAATTTATTTTCTCACAATTCTGGAGGCTAGAATTGTGAGAGCAAGGTGTCAGCAGTATTGGTTTCTCCTGAGGCCTTTTCCTTTGACTTGCTGATGACTCCTTCTCCATGTGTCCTCACCTGGAATTCTTTCTGTGTGTGTCTGTGTCCTAATCTCTCTTCATATAAGGATCCCAATCATATTGGGTTAAGCCCTTATAGAGCTGCTATAACAACAACAACAACAACAACAACAACAACAAAAACCATAAACTGGCCAGCTTATAAACAACAGAAATTTATTTCTTACAGTTTTAGAGGCTGGGAAGTCCAAGTTCAAGGCACCAGCAGGTGTGGTGTTTGGTGCAGGCTCACTCTCTGCTTTATAGATAGCACCTTCTTCTTGCTGTTTCCACACATGGTGGAAGGGGAAAACAGGCTCCCTGGAACCTCTTTTAAAGGGCACTAATCCAATTCATGAGAGCAGAGCCCTCATACCTAATCACGTCCCAAAGTTCCCACCTTTTAATACTATCCACATCAGGAATTCAGTTTCAACATGTAAATTTTGGGGGGACAGAAACATCCAGAACATAACAGGCCCACCCTAAATAACCTCATTTTAGCTTAATTACCTCTTCAAAGACCCTGTCCCCAAATACAGACACATTCCCAGGTACTGGGGTTTAGGACTTCATCATATGAATTGGGGGCAATGAAATTCAGCACGTAATAGCTATAAGAATAAAATGAACTCCTGGTTCAGGGCATACTTTACCTATCCTTCCTCTTAATTCTCACTACAGTCTGCAAGCTACTCCCTTGAGAAGACTAAAGCTCAAGGAGCTTAAGAGACTTGCCAAAAGCCTCAGAGACAGAAAATTCTAGAAGCAGAATTTAAATTTAGCTTCCTCCCTGCAGCTAAGCCTCTGGGAAGCCAATGATAGAAGGCTGGATTTGAGCAATCACCTTGTGGCTACAAGTCATGGCTGATACTTGGTAGACCATGAGATAGGCCAGGTTTTCCCTCCACTGGCCTCTGTCTTGCATTCCTAAGGATGTGAAGAGGGCCACGCAGTGGTGAAGTGCAGATGTGTGCAGCCAAGCACTGCCATTGTCCAGTTCTTTGACCCTAATCAAGTTTTTCAACTCCCAAGTTATTCCATTTTCCCATTTGTAAAACCCTTCAAGGAGGGGAGTGATAATTAACAGAGATAAGACACATAAAGTAGCTGGCATGAGGAACATCCTCTCTTAGCTCCTGGGAAAATACATTTCTTCATCTATAGGATGGCAATATCAATAGTCACTCTTCAGGAACTTTGAGATCTGTGATTGAGACAGCACGTGGAAGTGCCTGGCAGACAGCGTTCATCAAGATGGCAACCATCGTTGCTTGTCGGTCTTTCCTTCCTCCCTCACTTACACTGCCTTTCCTCCATCCCATTTCTGTTCTGCGGTCCCTAATGGTCTGCCCTAAACCCTTTCCTATCCTGGGTTTTAGCTTGCTATCCTCATGGATTACTCTGCTCTAACACAGATGGATTCTGAGCCTGTTTCTAGGAGTATCTTACTCTAATGAGCAGGATGGGTCTCTGACCAAGACGATACATCATGTCTGACTATCCGAGCAAACCATCAGTGATTTCAAATGACAGCAGCAATCATCCAAGCTGGGGCTGGCAGCTAAAACATTAACTCCTGATTAATTAATTCAATCAAGACTTTGCCAACTCATAAATCGTTCAGGCACACCGTTCACTCAAAAGATCTCTTGTTGGCTAATTGCTTAAGTGATTTTTAAAATTGTTTTAATGAACCACACTGCAATTGGATTCTGTGCTTTTTTTCTATTAATAACAGAAAGGGACATGAATGTGTAAGAAAAAAATAACATAGGTTATGATATGGAATTTGTAAGAAAGAAACAGATGCACGCAGCAGCAAGTTTGCCCTGGCCCAGGGATTTAAGACACAGTGAAAGCTCGATTTCATCCCCTTCTTATTCCTTCCCCCTTGCCTCATCTCAGGATTCTGCTTGGAGCATGTGTCGTAGGGATGCAGCAGTTCAGAAGTCAATAAACCTCAGTGAGCTCATAGCTCTTATTATGTACAAAATCTAACAGCCCTGAAGTACCATGGGAGTGTTTACAGCCTGACAATAACATCTCTCTTGTTCCTGCTGATGCTAGTTCCCCTGGGTGTTGAGAAGATGTCGTCCTCCACACCCATCCCCAAACCCTCCCTTTATCCTGGCAGGCATGCATCTGTGAGAAAGGATCTGGAGGGAATTACGAGATTTTATGGGCTAATGTGTCTGCAAAGGTGAGAAAAATGAGAATGAGGGGGACGGCAGCTCTGATGCTACCTCTCCTTTACCCAGGAATCTAATAAAACAGGAATTGGGAGAGAGAGGGTGAGAGAGGGACCGGAGGAGATCCACAACAACAGTGCTAGTAAGAGAGAGGAAATGAATGAAAGGCAAAAGGAGAAAGATTATCAAGACAGAGAATGGCTATAAAAAGAGTTAGAAAATGAGAAATTGGGTACTATAAAGAGAAAGAGCTGGAAATATAGAGATAAAAAGAAGTAGGGATCAAGAGACAGAAAGAGACAAAGTAGGGAGAAAATTAGAAATCGAATGTAAAAGAGAGAGAAAAGGAAGTTAGTAGGAAAGAAAGAGAAAGAGAAAAAAGGAGGAGCAGAGAATAAAGTTACCTGGAAATTGTGTTTGGCAAGGTAGCATCAATATTCCATTTGCTCTCTCTGAAGTTAGCCCTTAGAGAAAATTCCAGGACTTCACTGATGAAGTCTGTACATCCTCTCTTATGTTCAAAATGTTGCTTAGGTAATAACTTCATTGATCTAAACCCTGGCTCAATTTGACACTCCATTTTGTACCTCACAACTTCAATGATTGAGCACTTAAGCTTTGTGGAGTGTTACCGAAGTGTGACACTGAGCACTTGTCATGGTTTCTTCAGTTGTAAATGACTTTCACCCTCTGTGTCTCAAACTTTTAAGGCTGCTATAAAATATTTTGCTACCTTGGGAGACCCATGGTCTACTGCTGCAGTGCGGAAGAACTTAAGCAAGTTTGATGAGGAGGGGTCTATAAAGGAGTGTCCAGAAGGGAGACCATGGAAAGTGGAGTTTTGCACATGGCATAAATGTCTTAAAAATTTGACCTCCTTTCGTTTCTTTGTCTTTGAGGTCTGAGAAATTTTTCTTACTTTGAGTTTCCTTGTGGGCTCCGAATTACAGACACTGCAAACAAAGGACATTGCTTATATCAGGATGACACAGGTTGTATTAACGATTCCTCCCACTATGCTCACACTTAAGTTGATGACCAGCACATGCTTAATTTTAACGTAGTATCATTCATCAGTCTTTTCCTTTATGATTAGTGGTGTCTGTGTTCTGTTTTCAAAATTCCTTATCTGCTTCAAGGTCACCAAGAAATCCTCCTATGTATATTCACGGAGCTTTATTGTTTTACCTTCCACACTTAAATCTATAATCCACTTGGAATTTATTCTTGTATGTGGTGTAAGGTAGGAGGGGGGATCAAGTTGCATTTTTTCCTCACTTGAATATCTAGTTGATGTAGCATCATTTATAGAAGACCGCCATTTCCCAATTGGTCTGCAGTGCTATTCCTGAATAAATGCATGGATCAATACCCTCCATTGGTTTCTCTATCCTTACACTAATACCACACATTCTAGTTTTATGAATAAGTCTTGGTATTTTATAGAATAAGTAAGTCCTCCACACTGTACATCTTTAGATGTCTTGGCAATTGCATTTCCCTATGAATTTTAAAATAAGTTTGTCAATTTCCATGTAAACACACACCCACAGAAATCTGAGGGGATTTTGAGTTGAATTTTACTGACTCTAACAATTAAGTTGAAGATAATATCTTTATCAAGCTTTCTCCATACCTTTTGCCTCCTTTTAATTCTTGATATATTTCAATTCCTCCATTTATTTAGGTCTTCTTTAGTTTCTCTCAATATTATTTCATTGCCTTGAACATCGTCATTAGATTTAGTCTCATTCGATTTTATACGCTGTTGCATACAATATCTATTTTTAAGTTTATTTTATGTTCGTTGCTGCTATAGGAGTATAATTATTTTAAAAATATTTTATATTTATCTTGTATCAGATAAATATAAATCAGAATTTATTGCAATAATCTATAGATTTAAATAATTTGTCTGCATACACAATTATATTATTGCAAGCAATACAGTTGTAATTTTTGCCTTCCAATCCTTATACTTTGTATTTATTTTCATTGCCTTATTGTACTGGTTTGAACCACCAATAAAATTTTAAATATAAGTGGTATACCAGGCATCCTTATCCTGACCTCAGAGGGAAAGCTTTCAGTATATCACCATTAAGAATTATGTTTTTGTAAGTTCTTAAGAGATAACCTTAACTGGTTAAGAAATTTGCCTTCATTGTTGGTTTTGCTTAGAGTTTCCAAAAATTATAAATGGATATAAAATAATTGTATGATTTTACTTCTTTATTCTGTCAAATTGTGATTCGCAGTGGTTGATTTTCAAATATTAAGCTAGTTTTGCATTCTTGGAATAAACCCAACTTGATTATGATGTGTTATCTTTTTTAATGTATTTCTGGTTTGGGTTTGCTAATATTTTATTTGGGATTGTTGCACAATTCATGAGTGAGATTGGTCTATAAATTTCCTTTTGTAATACTGTCATTGTGGACTTTGGAATCAGGGTTAGATTTGTCTGAAGAAATAAGTTAATAGAAGTTCACTCTTTTTCTCTTCTTTGGGAGTTTTTATCCTCTGTAGGTAAGCATTATTTTTCTTTAAATATGTGGTACAATTTGGTAGTGAAGTCATCTGGGACTCTAGTTTTCTTTGTGGAAATGATATTTTAAAGTATTTTTTAAAGTAATATTTTTGAGATATAATTTACAAAATGTAAAACATGCTCTTTTTAAGTATACAATTCAATGAGTTTTGACAAATGTATACAGTTGTGAATCAGTATCTAGAACATTTCCAACTGCCCAGAAAGTCCCCTATGTTTTTATTTAGTCAATTCTCTTCCTTTAATAGCAGAGTCTGGCAATTGCTGCTGTTTTCTGTCCTTGCCATTTTGCCGTTTCTAGAATGCCATATCCACAGAATCATAGTTTGTAGCCTTTTGAGTTCGGCTTCTTTCACTGAGCATAATACTTATGGGATTCGTCCAGCTGTCGCATGTGTCAGTAGTTTATTTTATTGCTGAGTAATAGTCAAGTAAATGAATGTATTCAATTTGTTTGTCCATTCAGCAGGACATGGACTTTTGGGCTGCTCCTGGTTTGTCTACTATAAAAAGGTGACTACAAACATTCATGTGCAGATCCTTACGTGGACATGCCTAGGAGCAAGCAGCTAGCAGTCGCAAATACCTAGGAATGGGATTGTTGCATCATTTGGGCAGGGTATGTTTAATTTTATAAAACATGGCCAAACGTTTCTCCAAAGTGGCTATGCTATTTTGCATTCTCACCAGCAATGTATGAAAGTTCCTGGTGCTCTGCATCCGGTACCAACACTCGGTATTGTGTTTGTTTTTTTTTAACTGCCATTTTAGTTTGGGGATTTTAATATGCATTTTTCTAGCGAGGTATAATGATGAGCATCTTTTCATATGCAAATTGGTTACAC
Source organism: Homo sapiens (assembly GCF_000001405.40). Taxonomy (NCBI): domain Eukaryota; kingdom Metazoa; phylum Chordata; class Mammalia; order Primates; family Hominidae; genus Homo; species Homo sapiens. The sequence goes on along the minus strand of NC_000001.11, from coordinate 229,904,882 downwards.
ATATTTCTTCTCTGGTAAAATATCTATTCACATTTTTTGCCTTTTTTTTTAAATGGAATTGCTTTCTTATAATTGAATTGAGTTGTTTATTTATTTTGAATACAGTCCTTTATCAGATATGCATTATGCAAATATTTCCTCCCAGTCTATGGCTTATCTTTTCATTTTCTTAACCATGCCTTTTAAAGAGCAAACATTTTAACATTTTGAAGTCTAATTTACCAATTTTCTTTTTTATGGTTCATGCTCTTAGTGTTTTATCTAAAAATATGTTGCCTAACCCAATGTCATAATTGTTTTCCTATATTTTCTTCTAGAAATTTTATAGCTTTAGCTTTTCCATTTAAGTCTATGATTTTGAATTAATTTTTGTATATGTTGTGAGGTAAATGTTCATTTTTTTAAAGTATGTCAAAAAGACATGTTTTTCCATTTAATTACCCTGATGCCTTGTCAAAATTCAATGGACTATATATGTATGGATCTATTTCTAGACACCCTGTTCATTTACGTTGACCGATATGTCTATCTTTATTCCAAAATCACACTCTCTTGATTACTATAGCTTCATAGTAAAAATTGAAATCAGATATGAGGGTCCCCTAACTTTGTTCTTTTTCAAAACTTCTGTATTCCAAATATATTTTATAATCATCTTGTTAATTTCTACCAAAGAAAAAACTTCTGCTAGGATTTTCATTGGATTTGCTTTGATATTGGTAATTTGTGTCCTCTCTCTACATATACATTTTTTGTTCTTGATAAGTCTGTCTAAAGATTTAGCAATATTATTATTTTTTTAAATAATCAAGTTTGGTTTCACTGATTTTCACTATTAGTTGTCTGTTTTGAAATTCATTTATTTCTTCTTTTCATATTTCCTTCCTTCTGTTTGCTTGGGTAATTTGCTCTTCATTTTCAAGTTTCTTAAGGTAGACGATTAGATCATTGATTTGAAAGCTTTGTTCAAATGTAACTATTTAATGCTATAGATTTCCCTTTTAGTGTGGCTTTATCTGTGTCCCACAAGTTTTGATATGTTTTGTCTTCATTTTTGTTCAACTCAAATTTTTTCCTTATTTCCCCATTTGAGTGCCCCTTTGACTCATGTGTTATTCTGAAATGTGTTGTTTAATTGCCAAATATGTAGGGATTTTCAGATATATTTTCAGGATTTTTATTATGATTTCTCATTTAATTCTGTTCTTGTCAAAGAAGATAATTCATTAGATTTCTATAATTTTGAATGCATAAGATTTATTCCATGACACAGAATATAATTCATCTTAATGAGTGTTCCACGCATACTTGAAAAGAATTTGTATTCTGCTATTGTCAGAAGGAGCATTCGGTAAATGTCACTTAGCTCAAACTGTTGATAGTCTTGTTCAGCTTTGCTATATCCTTATTAACTTTATGTTTACTTGTTCTTTTAATTATGTAGAGAGGAGTATTAGAGTCTCCAAATATGATTTTCACTTCTGTCAGGTTTTTCTTCATGTTTTTCAAGTTCTGTTTTTATGTACATACCCAGGATTATGTCTTTCTGATAAACATATAATATTATTATGTAATGTCTCTTTCTAGCCATGGTAATATTCATTGTTCTAAAATCTAATTTTTCTAATACTAGTATAGCCACTTCTACTTTTTTTTTTTTATCAGAGTTTTCATGGCATATCTTTTCCCATCCTTTTGCTTTTAGCCTACATATTCCTTTCTATTTAACTGGTTTCTTGTAGAGAGTATATCATTGGATTTTGTTTTTCTGTATTCAATTGGACAATCTCTGCCTTTTAATTTGGGGCATTAAGTCAATCTACATTTAATGTAATTATTGATATGGTTGGATTTAAATCAACTGTCTTGTTTATACTGTCCTGTTTTAATTCTTTTTTTTCTGTTTTCCTATTTTGTCTTTAAATTATATTGCATAATTCCACTTTATATTTACCATTGGCTTGAAATTATATTGCATAATTCCACTTTATATTTACCATTGGCTTATTAGTTATACCTCTTTTCTAATTTATTTAGTTCTTACTCTAGGGATTGCCATATTTACATTAACTTATCAAAGCCTACTTCAAATAATAGTAGGATACTTTGGATATAGCATAAGAACCTGGTAACATTATAGTTCTATTTTCTGCCTCCCATACTTTAAGCTGTTTTTGTCATACTATTGCATATGTTATAAACTCCAAAATTCACTGTTACTATTTTGCTTCAGACAGAATATTTTATTTTCAAAATGTATTTCTTATAAAATAATACAAAGTAAGAAAAACTGTTTTATATTTACCTTTATTTTTACTATTTCTAAAGCTCGACATTTCTTTGTGTATTGCTAGAGCTCTTCATTTCCATCTGGTATGTTTCTGCTGCCTCAAGGACTTCCCTTAATAGTTCTTATTGTCCAAGTCTCCAGGCAATGAGTTCTATTAGCTTTTTTGTCTGAAAAAAATTTTTATTCTGCCTTCATTTTTCAAAGACGTATTCACTGGATATAGAGTTCTAAGTTGACTTTTTTCTTTTAGTACCTTAAAGAAGTAGCTGCATTGTCTTCTGGTTTGTCTACTTTCTGACCAAAGTCTGCTTGATATTCACATCTTTGTTCGACTGCATTTAATGTTGCTTTTTCCTTTGACTGCTTTCAAGATTTTCCCTATATCTTTGGTTTTCAGAAGTTTGACTATACTGTGTGTATGTGTGTGCATGTGTGACATCCTCCTTGAGATGCTTTGAATTTTGTGTATCTTTGCTTTGTCATTTTTTATTAGTTTTTAAAAATTCTCAGTCATTATCTCTTCAGCTACTTCTTATATCTGTTTCTCTATCTCCTCTCCTTCTAGAATTCTAATGATGTATTTTTATTCCATTTGATAACTGTCTCACAGCTCTTACTGTTTTGGGTTTTTTAATTCTTTTTTTTTCTTTTTGTCCTGTTTTAATCATTGACCTATCTTCAAGTTCACAGTTCTTTCCTCAACAATGATGTCCACCTTCCCTTTAAGTATGTAAAAGGAATTCATCTTTGATAACATGGGTTTCTTTTAAACATTTCTAGCATTTCCACTTGATTTTTTGAAAATCATTTCCACCTCTCTGCTAAAATTTCCCATCTGTTCATGCAAGTTGTCCACGTTTCCCAACAGATCTTTTATCAGTTATAGCTATGATAAAGTCCTATCTGATAATTCTTTAACATTTGGGTCATTTCTTAGTCTGTTTCTGTTGATTGATTTATCTCTTAACAATGAAGTCTTTTTATTTGTTCATGTGTTTAGCTTTTGTGTATTTTATAGCTATTCATCAAATGAAGAATATTTTAAGAAAAACAGTAGAAACAAAGATAAATAATATTTATCCCTGAAAATGGATCACTTCTTTTCCTGTCAGTCCATCAGCATGTGTGTGTGTGTGTGTGTGTGTGTGTGTGTGTGTGTGTGTGTGTATGTCAGTTAATCTAGTCAGTTGTTCAACTAGGTTGTTGCTTGCTATAGTCACCTTAGGGGCACCCAGACTTCTATCTCCTCCAGTGAAGAGCTGGTGGTTTTCTTCATATTGTGGTATCTATGGTGCTAGTGGATTTTTCCAAATGTTCTTGTTTCTCTCTTAGCTTTCAGTGACCACAGAAGGGTCTTTTTCTTGCTTCTTCCCCAGTAGTAGACTGACCTTGTGTGTTACTTGGTATGAGGCTCATGGTGGAGGCAGGGGGTGTTCTTGATTCTCCTCAACCAGCTTCTGTCTTTAGCAGGCCCTGTGCATTTGGATCACCTTGGGAATGGAAGTGTCTCATTGTTACCATTCTACCTACCCCACCTCTTGGGAATGGAAGTGTCTCATTGTTACCATTCTACCTACCCCACCTCTTGGGAATGGAAGTGTCTCATTGTTACCATTCTACCTACCCCACCTCTTGGGAATGGAAGTGTCTCATTGTTACCATTCTACCCACCCCACCTCTTGGGAATGGAAGTGTCTCATTGTTACCATTCTACCTACCCCACCTCTTGGGAATGGAAGTGTCTCATTGTTACCATTCTACCTACCCCACCTCTTGGGAATGGAAGTGTCTCATTGTTACCATTCTACCCACCCCACCTCTTGGGAATGGAAGTGTCTCATTGTTACCATTCTACCTACCCCACCTCTTGGGAATGGAAGTGTCTCATTGTTACCATTCTACCTACCCCTCCTCAGGACAGCCAAACTGTGCGTTGCATCTGGTTGGGTCTTTCGGAGCAAGTGCTATGAGAGTTTTCTACTCTTCCTCCAGAGGCAGATAGGTGTGCTTCTACCCCTCCCCAGCAAGTGGTGAATCTCTGCCTGTTCTCCAGAAATGGGAGGGTTTCCTCTTCTAGCAACTTAAGGCTTATACCTCTTATGAGACGAAGATCTGGGAAATGGACAGGGTTTTGTTTCTGCCCCCCAGTGGCAGCTGATTACTTCTGGCATGCCTGCACCACTAAATGTGGCTGTCTCTAGTTTTCTGCCCTGCCCCCTATATTTCTTGTGTGTATCCAGTGGAGACTCATGGATAAGAGCTTGAGTACAGACTTCCCATTGAGTGTGGAACTCCAGAATATTCTGAACTGTCATGATAGTCTACACTTGGCCTTTATGAATTTGTTAAAAGTTTCTGCTTTCTTCTCATCCACTTTTATGATGGCAGCTTTTGGATTCTGCTGAAGGTGAAACCGTTTGTTCGAACTATCTCTCCTTAAAGGGGCTCATCACTCTTCGGAATTCATTCTACCTCTTTTCCTGGAAAACTCAGCTCTTTGATGGGCTCAAAAAAGTTATCATTTTGCAGATTTACCTGCCTTTTTCTCATTGTTATGGTAGGAGTGACATTCTCTTGTGGCTTTCTACAAACTGAATAGAAATAGATCTCCTAGGGAAGGTGGAAGGCTTTTCATTCAAAAAATCTATTTCTTTAGTAGATACAGGAACATTAAAATTGTCTTCTTCATCTTTGGTAAGTTTTATTTTTCATTAATTTGTTCATTTCCTGTAAATTTTTAACTTTTGGCATAAAGCTGTTCATAATATTCTAACGTTATCTTTTAATTTTTAATAACAGAATCAGCAGTAATGTTGCCTTTTTTATTTTTGATATTGGTTTTTTTTTAACTTGTTAAATTTTATTAGACTTTTCAAAGAATGAACTCTTGCCTTTGGTGAGTTTCTCTATTTTATACATATTTTTTGTATTTTTATTTTTTTCTCATCTAAATATTCAATTTTTCTAATTTCCTTGGATTTAATTTGCTGTTTATGTTATAACTTCTGGTGATATCAGCTTATTAATTTTCAACATTATCTTTTATAATATATGCATTTATAGCTACTCTTTCCTTCCATGCATGGTTTAAGTACATTTCATTAGCTTCTATATGTAATGTCATCCAATTCACATATTTCCATTGTGATTTCTTCTTTGACCCATAGAATATTTAGAAGTATATTTATTTATTTCCAAACTAATGAGAATTTTCTATTTAACTTTTCTGTTATTTATTTATAGCTTAATTAGCTTGTCATCAAAAAACATACCCTGTATTATTTCAGTCCTTTAAAATTTGTTCACACCTAAAGTATGAAAAATCTAGCACATGGTAAATTTTTGTATTTTAAAAAATATTGTTATACACAGTTGCTATTGAGTAGACTGCTTTATGTATGTACACATATACACATATTAATTTGGTTAAGTTTATTCCTTGTTTTGGCCACTTCTATCTCTTTACTAATTTTTTTTTCTGCCAATCACTGAGAGAGCTGAAAATTAAAATCTTCCATTATAATTGTGAATTTGTCTATTGTTTTGTGGTGAGTTCAGTCAAATTTTACTTTGTACACTTTGAAGCTATTTGGTATGTCCAGATTTAAAATTGTTTTAACTTTGTGGGAATCAAACCTTTTATTAGTCTACAAGACTTGAGTAGAACAGACTTTTTTTTTTTAAAGAGAGGGTTTTGCACTGTCACCCAGGCTGGAGTGCAGTGGCACAATCATAGCTTACTGCAGCCTTGAACTCTTGGGCTGAAGCAATCCACCTGCCTCAGCCGCCTAAGTAGCTGAGACTACAGGCACATGCCACCATGGCTGGCTAATTTTTTAAATTTTTTGCTGAAATGGAGTCTCGCTGTCTTTGCCTAAGCTGATGGCAAACTCCTGGCTTCAAGTCATCCTCAAGCCTCAGCCTCAGATTACAGATGATAGCCACCATGCCTGGCCCCTAAGTACAGGATAGATCATTCTTAGTCCCACTATTCTGAATTATTGGTTTGTCTGATCAACCCAACTACTGAGCTCTCTTAGACTCTGAACTCAAACTCCTTGGTTTTAAATATGGATTCTGTGTGTCCTTGGGCAAATTACTTAAACTTTTTGTAGCTTTCTTTCATTAGTAAAACATATAAAACAGGGTTGCTATGAGGATCAAATGAGTATGTTAATTAACTAGTATCTAGCATATAGTAAAAGCTCAAAATAAATATTAGCTACTAATATTCTTTACTTGATTAATCTGGGGATGCAGTTTGACCTCAGCTTCTATTTCAGAACAGTTGAAAATCAATGACAGTTTCTATAGTAAGGGACTTCCTGATTTTGAAGATAAAGCACCTCAACTTGGATAGGCAAAGATGAACTCTTTCCTCAAACTGCATGACTTAGATGACATAAAAATAGCTTTGGAATAGTATATGTTGGGTTTTTATAGGTCATATTATAGTGACAAATTACATCCAGGAATCTCAGTTTGCTTATCTCTAAAATTGGGTTATTATAATGCCGACTTTGCTTGTTTTACATGGCCATTATGAAGTCACAGCTATAAAAGTACTTTAAAAATTGTAAAGTGCAATGGCAATGTGGGTATGATTTCTGTGATCATTTTTTAATGTCACATATCAGAAAATTCCTGAATCTTCTTATTTAAAATAGGAAGATCAGAAGTCAAATTATAAGGAGTGTATGGGCACATGTGCGCACACACACATAGAATTTGCTTGCTGAAAGGAGAAAGTAGTATCTGCCAGCTGATTTAAATCTTTCACTTGAATAGCTCTGCCCCAGTAGTCCTCGCTGCCAGCAGCTCCTTTTGCAGCAGCTGAAGTAGAACCAGGCGGAGTTGTCGAGTTCTTGGCTTATTGGATGCCGACAGGCCTGGAGCAGAGAAACTCAATTGTTCTAACGTTCTCACTCCTCCTCAGGGGACTGTGGCTGTCAGTGGAGTAACGAGAAAGAGGAACAAAGATGGGAAAAGACCAGCAGCTATTTGTGAGGCTGTGGCCATTCCTGCCTCCACCCCCAGACCACCTGCTGAAGGGAGAGATGTTAAAAAGAACCACGTTTTCCATTCCTCAAAGCCAAACAAACACAGAGAGTCGGCTGAGCCTCTCTAAATCAGTGACTGCCAGGGGAGTAAAATGCTGAACCCACCAAAAGGCCACATCTGCGAAATAAATCCATGTCCTGAGAGTCAAATCAAAACAGATGTGGTCCCACAGCAGGGACCCCTCCCATGGAGAGACACATCTACCTCGGTCCTACCCAGGGCCCTTTCTCGTTGAGAGATCTGGCCAGGTTATGAAAACCATTTACTTCCATGGTGACTCTTCTTCAGTGATGCTGGCTGGAGCCCAGCCCTCCTCAGGTCACTTAACCACACCATCTTAGGGAGCCCAGCCCACTCTCAGCCTAAAGCCATCAGTGAAAGTGCAAACTCAGGGACTGCAGTCAGTTAGACTCAACAGCTCTCATCCCCCAGGTCCTGTCCACAGGCTCAGCGCGCTATGTCCTGCCCTGCCCACGCTGGGGTCAAGAAAGGAAGTTTTGCTCATCTTCCAAGGCCCAGCTCAGCCGCCCCCTTCTCCAGAGGCTTCCTCCTTCTCCAAGGACAGATCTGCTACTTATTTGCCTCTTCCCACAATACTTTTTTGAAAATCTTTTCCACAGAGAGCCCCAGGGATCCACTCGCTGGCCTCAAGGATTTGTGAATTCCTAAAATGTTGTGTGGATTTTCGTATATGAGCATCTGTATGTTTTTATCTAAGGAGAAAACAACGGATAGCTTTATCAGGTTCTTAAAGAGGTCTATGTCCTAAAAACATTTAATATAAATATGAATATGACTCTACTACAGTATAACATTTATAGCACAGTGTGTGTTGTGATGAAGAGTTCCAAGCCTGTGCTCCTTGCTAACCTAGAAAAACCTTAGGTGACATCCCTGGGCTGTGGCCTGTAAGACAGTGCTCCCTAAATCATTGCTAGATCAACGCTGGATAAGTAACATCTCCCTCCTTGGAGACGTTAGCATTCAAATTACTCACAGTCCTTCACTCTTGCATTTCCTAGATGAGTTGTCAACATTTATCTTGCCTGCACTTGCATACCATTTATTCATCTCATCAACCCCACAATCTGTTCAGTCCAAACATACTACTGATACTGCTATATTTAAGGTGCACACTGACCATATAATCTCAGCTCTCACCTTGATCTCTCTGAAGCATTTGGAAGTGTGGACACTGTTAAATTCCATCTTTCTTGAGACAGTCTCTACTCTTACCTTCCACAAAATTATTCACTCTCCACAAATATTTATTAAATACTTAACATGTGCCCAGCAGTGTTCTGGGTCCCTGGGATACATCAGTGAAAAGAAACAGACAGAAAAAAACCATCACCCTCACAAAATTTCCATTCTAGGGGTGAGGGTGGGGGAGTGAGGGGCTGGGAGGGGTGAGAAGAGGAGGAATCTGACAGAAAATAAACAATAAATGTAATAAATGAATAAAAGGTATGGCATTGTAGAAGGTGTTAAGTGCTATGGGAAAGACAAGCAAGAGGAAATGATAGGTAGGTAGAGAGCTGGGGAGTTTGCAGTGGTCTTCGTGAGAAGCCTCGTTATGAAAATGACATCAGAGCAAAGATGTGAATGATTCCTGGGGAATCACCAGAGGTTTGGGGGGAAAAGCAAAGTTGGTTTGCTGACTAAGGCACTGACTAAGGAGCAGCATAAAAACAGCATGGAACAGCCTAGAACAATCTGGAACAGCCTAGAAGAGCCTGGAGCAGCTTAGGAGCGCCTGAAGCAGCCTGGAACAGCTTATAACAACCTGGAGCAGCCTAGAACAGCCTGGAGCAGCCTAGAACAACCTAGAACAGCCTGGAGCAGCCTGGTACAGCTTAGAAAAGCCTGGAACAGTCTAGATCAACCTGGAACAGCCTAGACTAGCCTGAAGCAGCCTAGAATGGTCTGCAGCAAACTGGAGCAGCCTGGAATAGCCTAGAACAGCCTGCATCAACCTGGGAGCTCATATGACTGGGTGGGTGACAGGGGAGGGAGTGGCGAAAGGTAAGTCCTGAGAGGATGGCCTCACAGGTTTCTGTCAAGACTTTGGCTTTTACCCTGAGTAGACTAAGGAGCTACTGAGGGCTCTGTGAGAAACTGGGCTGTCTAAATGCTACTTACTCTGACTTCTGTGTCAAAAACAAATGGCAGGACATGTTGAGGATGAGAGCCTCAACATGTCCTGAGGGATGACAACCCTCAGGAACCTCTGCAGATGATGGCTATGCAAGGTGGCAGCAGAGGTGAGAAACATTGGGATTCCAGATACAGCTTGAGGACAGAGCCAACCCCATGTAGTCTTGGATGCCCCTTATCTTTCAGTCCTTTGATTCCATCTCTCTTCTTTCCTGCTCCCAAGCCTGCTGTCTTCTCTTTCTCATTGCACTCTCTTCCTTGGTAAACTCGCTTACTTAGGTGGCTTACCTATGCTCTCACAGCTAGGCAGGGAAGACTCCCCTTTTCTTCCACTTCTACGACAACATAGCTTCCATAGGTAGAATGCCATGACCAGTCTTTTTAGCTCTTGAGTATAGTTTCAGACCAAGAACCCAGGTAGCTTTGTTCTCAACCCCTGAGCAAGCCAGCTCTGTCCTGTCCTAAAAACAGAACCAACTCTCTGGACTCCAGCTTAGAATAAGGAAGACAATACTTCACAGAGTGCATTCTTATTTACTAACCTATTATTTAGTTAGACTCCAACAACAACCCTGAGATATAAGCAAGGCAGGAAGAATTACATCCTCTCAGGAATTAGTAAACTAATAGATTGAGTGACTCATCCAAGGATGAAGTCAGTGAGCAGTGGGGACAGGACTACAGCTCAAATCTCCTGGTTCCCAACAACAATACCTGCTTTCCAATCCCTAGAATCCCAGACCCTTTTCACAACAAGGAGTCTTATAAAGCAGAAATAAGAGCACCCCAGTTTTCTGTGCATTCTGGCAACAAAGTAATTGTGAAACTGAGACAACTTCTCAGGACTGCTCCACATTGCCCTGGAGCTCAGGCTCAGCTGGAGTCCCCGAAAAAGCTCCCAGTGAGGGCTCCCCTTCCTCCTGCAGCTCTGTGAGAAAAGTGAAACCCTGCCAGCCCGGATGGGATGTGAGCCTATCTTGCCATTGACAGGTCTCCTTCCCCCAGGGTACTCTTTATTTTGCTATTAACCGAGGGAAATGAGATAGCAGCTCAAGTTTTTCTCCGTGAGTTGAGAGTACAGATGTGCCGCTGTCTGGTGGAGCCGGATGCTCTGCGGTCGGTAATGGCCTTCAAACTGAATGGTTAATGAAGTCTGACTAAGATGCTAAGCTTAGGCTATAATTAATTTAGAATTTGAAATGGGGAGAAACCTTGGTTGTTTCAAGCTAGTCAAACCAGAGGCTGCCTTAGGGCAGTGATTCCTTCTCACATTCCCATTAAAACCATGTACCTATAAAAAGGTAGCTCCATGTCACCACAGTGGTGACCCTTCTCTCTGACTCATTTCCCATTATGAGCACAATTAGCGTGCAGCATGTGTCCTGGGAGATTAATGATCCGCTGGAGGGAAGAAAGAGGAACTTGGGGAATGGATCTGGGTGTAGTCAGAGCTCGCCTCTCCCTGGGAGCTGCCTTGGTGCTGTAAAGGTAAACATCCAGGTGCTGGTTGGACTCCTGGCTGGACTCAGCCTCCATAGCAGGTGGTCCTCCTGGGGTGGGGTGGGGCTGCCACTGATGTGCACAGCAGGTTGAGGAGAAGCACCTTCCAGGGGCCCATAGTTCTTCTGGAGTGGACAGAAGCACCCAACTCCCAGCCACAGCACCCGGGCTGCTACCATAATGGTTATGTCTCTGAGACAGAGACCTTCACAGGAAGAATTTCCTCTTTCCCTTAGCCAAGTTGGTATTCTTAGCACTTTCTAGAACTGAAAGAGAGAATTAAGTGAGAAGATACCCTCTTTTATCCCATGAAAGAATCGAATCAAATATTCTTAACAATTAAGACTGTAAAATTAGACATAACTCCGAGGTTTGTGGTCTAAAATATAGGGTTGATGTGAAAAGAACTTGAAATAGAACAAAGAAGTAAATAGCTGTGCCGAACCCAATCAAAGAGTGTGGCAGCCAAGTTGGAGATCAGTGGAATGAGATCCTGTATAACATTAAGAGTAGGTGACACAGGCAGGGAGAACACCCTGTTTAGGGAACGTTAGCAGAGTGACTATAAAACTGGATCAGCCTGGCAGTCAAGGTTACCAACAAGAAGCAAGACAACATTCCAGCCAGAAATCCACTGGTCTTAAAAACTCCTCAGCTGGGACAGACAACCACAAAAGTTGTGTGAGAAGATAATCCAAAAGTTGTTTGAAATGACAACTGTTTCCTTAGTAGGAGAACACCTTTCAAACACCAGATTTGAATTTAGAATACTTCAGAGGAATCAACACATAGTAACATTATTTCATGGTTAAGGTGTTTAGATACAATTTTCCATGGGTCTTTCATATTTCTGCATGTCTTGTGAGCAGAGGGTGTTTTTCTGAACAGCTTTGGAAGACAGAGATGGTGCCCTTCAAGAACAAAGGGCAGGTTGGTTTGCTCTCTGATATAATAAAGATAACGTCTCCCTCCAATGCAAAGGTCAAGTGGACTTACTGCCTATTATAAAAGATTCCAGATCTCTAAGCTTGGGGTTCCTCTCCTGTAACCCATTGTGTGTAAAGATGCCTCTGGGCTCTTCACATCACCCTATGGGAACTGGGACTTGAGGAACTGGTGTAAATGTTGATACTCTGTCTACTACTATTGACATAACAAAGTTCTTTGTCTCTGATCCAGGATCTCATGTCTTTTGCCAGCTTTGATGAAACTTGCTAGTTGGAAAGCAGAGTGAAATCTCAGGCTCTACAACTCTTGACATAAGTATTTTATTCATTTTTGGTGTCTATGTTCTTGAAGTACTTAAGAGATTTGGGGCTATGCAAGTAATAGACCAACTTTGTGATTCATATTAAAATTAAGTGATTTAAACGCAGGATTTTTAATTTGAAATTATTTAAGTTTATAAACAGTATGGGAACATTTAGAAAGACCTGGATTCATTCTGTTTATAATTGTAATCCATTAAATTTATGAAAATTACCTAAGAAATCTGAAAAGGTTTGGTTTAGCCATCAGGCAATTGAAGTACCTAAACAAGGAAATAAAATATATTAAATTTATAAATCTTACTTTAAATGTTTGAATGAGTTAAATAACTCCGTTTGTATTGGGACCAAACTCTTTAACTCTTTAAGACTGCCTTAAATCATTTTGTTAAAAATCTTAGATTGATTTCCACTTCTATGTAGAGAGTTAGAAAGTATATCACCTCTACCCTAACAACAAGAATATGACAAATGAAATACAAAATGATAATGTTCCTTGAACTCATCAGAGGACTGACATCACAGGGCAACTAAGCAACTAGAATTCCAAAGAAGGACAAGCCCCTCCAAAGACAGGAAGCATGAGGGCAGGCTCATCAGTGTCAGAGCAGGGGAGACCAGCACAGACACCTTACAAGCAGGTAAGGCAAAGTCAGCTAAAATGCCAGTTGGTTGGAAGAGACCAGAAACAGTGGAAGCCAGAAGGCAATGGAAGGCTTTTAAAGTCCTGATAGACATTTTCTGTTGGTAGAGATTTCCACACCTAACAAATATACATTTTTAAATGGAGGTGAAATAAAGACTTTTTTCAGGCAAATAAATGCCGAGAGAACTCATTGTTAGCAGCCCTCATCTGTAAGAAATATTAAAGGAAGTTTTTCAGACAGAAGGAGTATGATGCCAGTCAGAAACTTAGATTTATACAAAGAAACGAACTTCAGAAATGGTGAATATAAAGGTCATTTTTGCCTATTACTAATTGCCTTAAAAAATACTTGACTATTTGCAGGGATTGATAAACTTTCTTTCAATAGAGGACCACATAGTAGATACCTTAGGCTTTGTGGGCCCGTGGTCTCTATTGCAACCATTCAACTCTGCCATTGTAGCCTGAAGGCAGCCATGCAAACAAATGGCTATATTCCAATAAAACTTTATTTACAATAACCGGTGGCAGGCTGGAATTGGCACAATCACAAATCAGTGTGCCTATCACTGGCCTAAAGCAAAAATGCTCACAAAGTACTCTACTCTAGGATTTATGACAACAATAAGAAAACATATGGCAGTATACTTTGTAAAGTTCTTGCACTTCAAATGAAATGGCATAATATTTGAAGTTAGACTGTGATAAATAAATATGTACACAGTAAACTCTAAAGCAACTAAAAATAAAAAGAATAGTATAACTAATAAACTGAGTATAGAGCTAAAATGAAAACATAGAATGCTTAATCTGAAAAGCAGGTAAAAAAAGAAGAAAAAGGCAACGAGAAACATGTGAGTCTAATAGAAAACAACTAGCAAAATGGTAGATTTAAATCTACCATTATAAATATTTGTACTGATACAAACCATGTCAATACGTATGTCACATGTAAATGGTCTAAACACCCAAATTAAAAGGCAGAGATTGTCATATTGAATTTTTTTAAAAAAAACTGTATGCTGTTTACAAGAAATATACTTTTAATATAAAGAAAAAATTTAAAAGTAAAAACATGGAAAATGATATATTATGAAATCACCAATCAAAAGAATGTTGGAGTAACTTTGTTAGTATCAGACAAAGTAGACTCTGGAACAAAGAATTAATACCAGGGATCAAAAGTAACATTACATAAAGGTGTCAATTCACTGAGGAAGGAAAGCTTTTAGATTCTCTGGGTCCCATTCAAAACTGGAAGCCAGTAAATGAGTTAGAATAGTATTTCTAAGTGTGGTATATGCTATCTTCAAAATCTGAAGTGTTCTAAAAAGTGTTATGCCTTTGTCTTACAGCTTGTAGGGGCTATCCTGAAATGCCCTTAATCATCGGACCTCTAAAAACTTTGCCAAAGTAGCAGGTCCCTGAAGATTTTAGAGTGTATCTCCTACGCTCTGATGCATATAAATCCTACCAGGGTATTCAGAATACTTACCATTTCCTGTTAACTGGGTTTGCTTACCATCATGTCCTCAATATGGTGGACTAACAGAATGTTCTGCAGAATATCTAGACAACCAAAGTCCTTTGAATTGTATTTTGACAAACAATAGGAAATTCACAGAGCTCTAGGCCAATGCTGTGAATGTATGTTGTTTTCTATTCCTAGTAAAGGCAAGTTGCTTCTGATCCTCTCTCCTAATAGAAATTTAAGAAAATGCATCTGCCATGGCCAGGCATGGTGGCTCATGCCTGTAATCCCAGCACTTTGGGAGGCCAAGGTGGGCAGATAATCTGAGGTCAGGAGTTCAAGACCAATCTGGCCAACGTGTTGAAACCTCGTCTGTACTAAAAATACAAAAATTAGCCAGGCATGGTGGCACGTGCCTGTAATCCCAGCTACTCTGGTGGCTGAGGCATGAGAATTGCTTGAACCCAGGAGGCGGAGGTTGCAGTGAGCCAAGATCATGCTAGTGCACTCTCCAGCCTGAGCTACAGAGCGAGACTCTTGTCTCAAGGAGAGAGAGAGAGAGAGAGAGAGAGACAGAGAGAGAGAGAGAGAGAAAATGCTTCTGGCAGATTATTATACTTGGTGATAGATGTCGTGTTGATCTATTCCAGCACTCATAACTGTGGCTACCACTTGGTTAATTTGTCAGTAGTCCATCTTCATCTGCAATGCACCATTTCATTTTTGTGTGGTGGGACTAGTAAATTATTTAGGGATATGATGGGGACCACCATAAAGTCTGCCTTCCTTGAGCCTTGGAGGGTGGCGTTCTAATCCAGAAAGAGGCAGTATTTCTGATTTTCTATCTTGGCTGGGGTGAGGAATTTTTGAGAACTTCCACTAGGCATTTCGTAGCATCATGGCTCTTATTTTATAACAGGTTCTCCCACTGTTAAGTATGTCTATTTCGATTATGAACTCAGAGACCAGGAAAATGAACAGCAGCTAGGGCATAGATCCATTGGCCTCACTATGAGACTGATTTGAAGCCAGGACTTTCCTCATATCAACAGAGGGTGTTATTATGGCACTGGTCCCATCGTGTCAGCTTTAGCTCAGATCTTGTGTCCACAGCTCTTCAAAGATCTGAGTCCTCAGAAGAAATGTCCATAGATCTTTTTGGTAATAGATAGGGGGTATCACTACTGTGTATGCTTAATGTGGCAATACAAGGTCATTTCTCAGGGGTACCCAGCCTCTCTTTCAATACAGGCTCTGGGTCTGATAAGTGGCTCAGGTCTGGAAACTGGGCAAGGGATCAAGATTTTTCATTGCAGCAGCTGACATCAGCCTTCTGCTCATCAGCTTTTGATCTTTAGTTACATAGTTCAAACAATATGTTCCAGTCTCACTGCTAGGAACACCACAGTCTATTAGTTACTACTCCCTGATTCCTGCAGATAAGAACCCAGATTGTCCTTCTAACTTTGCTGCTGTTACAATCATTTGTCTACTTTGCCTTTGATGGGTAAGTGCTGCCAACTGTGCTGTGCCCTTCTTGAATCCCATCATACCCAATGACACTAAGAGGGAGCCCAGACCCATAGCAGCCTAGAAAGGTCAATCACCGGAAGTTTCTCAACAATGTTGATGGCCACCTCACTGACGTATTCCTTATATTGCTAATGGAGAGCAAACCCTCTGGGCTCTCCCAGAGCTGGCTAATTGGCAGATTCTCTGGTCTTACATAGTAAATCTATTTTTGTATGCCTACCTCGCTAGACACTCTACCCTTTCTGCTGCAAAGTTCTGGCATTAACAAGAGGTCATTATTGTTTCCAAGCTGTAAGGCACTATCTTGGCAGTGCATCAGGACTGGCTTAGGTGTTCTTGCCAGGACACTACATCCTGAGCCACAGGAGACAGCCCACATATCCATAAACTCTCCTTCAGTCCAGCATTCTCAAAATTCAGCCCCAAACATGTCTTCCTGGGTCATGTTGGTACACATTAGCTAGATGTTACATCCCTTTCTGAAACGATGACAGTAATTCTCTCATCGGGCATTCCAAGGCATGTACCAATTATTGGCCTAAACAGGGATTGGCAAACTATGGCCCATGTGTCAAATATTGTGTGTTTTTTGTAAATAAAGTTTTATTGAAATACCCATTCATTTACATATTGTCTATGCTGCCTTTGTGATACAATGGAAGAGTTGAATCATTATGGCAAACACTGTACAGACCACAAAGCCTAAATTTTTTGCTGTCTCTTTACAAAATAAGTCTGCTGACCCCTGGTCTAGAAGCTGTGAGGGCTGGTGGAGGAAATCTTGAGAAGGGTACTCATCATCTCAGAAAGCCTCTGCCTCAAGTGAGGGCTTTGTATGGTCTTGGGGTAAGGGAAGGCTTTTTCTCTCTACAAGGGAAGTGGGCCACTTCTGCAAGCCGAGAGAGTTCCAGGGAATCTGAGGATTGAAGGTTCTCAAGCACATCTACCTGAAAGTCCTCATTTCAGGTCCTCAGGTCTCTTCCTCCTTATCAGCCCCTTGACTTTGACACAGAACATTTGCTGGAGCCACAAATTCAGACTTTGCTATTCTTTTATCAGATCATAAGCTTAATTTTCAGCAGGATGTGCCATCCAGTTACAGAGCCTTGTTAATTGGTAGATTCTCTGGTCTTACATAATAAATCTATTTTTGTATGCCTACCTTGCTAGACATTCTACCCTTTTTGCTGCCAAGGCAGTTTTGGCATTAACAGGAGGTCATTATTGTTTGCAAGCTGTAAGGCACTATCTTGGCAGTGCATTAGGACTGGCTCTAGCTGTTACATGCTGTCATAGAGATTTTCTGGCTTCTAATTCTGTGCTTACTTTGGTTGTTAGCTGACTCAGCCTGGCCTATTTTCTCCCTTCAGGGCATTGATGCACCTAACAATCATCTCCACCGCACTTGTATGTGCTGTCACCACCATAGCTCTCAAATGCTAGTGATATTATTGCACAAGCTGGTGCGTCCTCTAGCACCTGCACTTCTTCCTGTATCAACCAGGCTCCAGCCCAGCCAGGAGTTTTAAACCACATTAGTTATTTTTACAGAGAGAATTTAATACCAAGAATTGAGGAACCAGACAGGTCTAAATGGGCACATTGAGATAGGGTGAACAACCATCCCAGTTTGCCCAGGACTGTTCTAGTTTTAGCACTTAAAGCACTGTGCTCTGGGAAAAACTTTAGTCTCAGGCAGAGCAGGACTGCTGGCCACCCTCACTGAGGTATCACAGAGATGGTAACGGCAGGATGCAGCTCTCATCCCAGTACTGGGGGGCACACAGGAAAGAGTTTTGTCTAAGTAGAGGGCACCAGCTAACTGGTGCTTGTATCCCTGAGGGGTGCCATGAAGCTGGTTTGGGCAAAGCCATTAACTGGAACCAATTGTTGCTATTGGAACCAAGTGTTGTGAGTGCAAAGGTGATGCATCATTGCTGGGATGAGCCTGACACCAGAGGAAGGGAGGAGATGAGAAGGAGCATGTCCCTTCTTTCTTCTCTAGCCTCCAGTTTTCCTCCAGCTTCCCGTTGCCCCCCGCCCCAGAGCCTAACTGGGAGCCACTGGCAGGGCAGAAATGTGGTAGGTGGGAATTCCTAGCCGCAGCATCAGAGAGCAGTGTACCAAAGACCCGCATCCACCCTGGCATTCCGGCTGCTTACTGGGTGGAGCTGCAGTAGCTTATTCACCAAGTGAAGACATTCTTAACAGTCACGATGCATGCCAAGGGGTCATCACCACCCACTTACCACCGAAAACCGGGGCCTTGTTGCCCTCTGAGCAGCAAAGGATCCAAGAGCAGAATCCCACAAAACTCTGCTACCAAGACCCCTTCAAACTCTAGCTGTCTTAGTTTGGGGGGCCCCCAAAGCAGATCCCAAGGCAAAGATTTGAGCACAGTGATTTATTTGGGAGGTGGATGGGGCAAATAAAGATACATTATTGAGCCAGCTAGCACCACAGGAGACTGTAGGGTTGGTCTGGGCTGGGTCCAAGTGGGCTGCTTTAGAATCCAGATGACGGAGCTGGGGGAAAGAAGCACATTCCCCATTTCTTCAAGAAACTCAGCCTACCTGCAGGAATGCAGGGAGCACCTCAGAGGCTTTAGACCGTGGTGGGGAACCCCACGCAGGCTGCACCTAAGGCAGGGACACGCAGTTCACATCTGCCACAGCTGTGATGAGGGGCCTCCACTGGATATCTGGCCATGGCACACAGCGGCCACCACCAAAAGGGCAGGAGGAGGGAGACATGAGATCTGAAGTCAGCTTGAGTGAGGAGCCTGAGATGCTGAAGAAATCGGGAGAACGTGGCGGGTAGTGGGCAATGCCTTAGTTTGAGTTACCCCCAGAAGCAATCCCTGGGAAAGGACACAAGCACATGTTGCTTCCTTGGGAGGTAAAGGAAAACATCATTAGGGGAGTAGTGAAATGAGACAGGAAAGGGGATGTGGCCGGTACAGGGTGTGTTATCACAGCAGCCATGGCTGTGGGTAACAGGAGCCTAATGCCACAGGGAGCTGGAAGCCAGCAGAACACACATACCTTGTGGGTGGGAGAAGCTTCAGTGTTTCCGTGCAGGATTCAAAGATTGCTTCTCTCATTAATTCTCCTCCTGGACTGCCTTGCCTGAGGGCAGAATGACCTTCTGTGGCTACAGAGAAAGGCTTCAGGCAAAGAGATGCAGCTCTGGGCCCCAGAGTCCGCTGGAGCACACTGAAGCTGGAGCACACTGAAGTGGAAGATGGGGCTGCAGACAGAGACTGGGCAGCCTCTGCTCCAGGGAGGCCCGAGAGCCAGAGAGCAGATTCCATAAGAAGAATAACTCCCATTCCTCATGCATGAGACCCTCTGCTAAATGCTTCCTGTGCACCACCTCCAGAAATCCTCCCAAGCCAGGACACCAGCAGTATTACAGGTGGAATATCCCTTATCCGACATGCTTGGGTCCACAAGTGTTTTGGATTTTTTCAGATTTTGGAATATTTGCGTATATATAATGAGATATCTTGGGGATGGGACTGAAGTCCAAACATGAAATTCATTTATGTTTCATATACACCTTATATGCAGCACATAGCCCAAAAGTGATTTTGTGTAATATTTTAAATACTTTAGTGCATGAAACATAGTTGTGACTATAACCTGTCACATGAAACCAGGTTGGAATTTTCCACTGGTGGTGTCATGTTGATGCTCAAAAAGTTTTGGATTTTGGAGCATTTTCGATTTCGGATTTCTAGAGTAGGGATGCTCAACTGTATTATTATTTTCATTTTACAGGTAAGAAAATGGAGGCTCCCAGAGATTTGACAACCTGCCCGCAGCAATGACCAAATCAGACTTGGTGCTAAGTCTGCACCTCCCCAAAGTCAGTGTGTTTGTATGCTCTGCTGCCACTGCCCCCCGCTGGCCCTGCACATGATGTGAACCATCAGGCAGACCTGGAGTTCTGTCTCCTGGGTGGGCTGCTTGCCAACACCAGGGTGGCTGGCCCCTGCCTGTGTCAGGTCCTGCAGTGTTGACTCTCTTCGTGTGATGTTGGGCAGGTGGAGCTGGTTGTGCTGAGCCTGAGGAAACATCCAATGTGCCAAACTTTCTTGTGTGTTTCCCTCTGCTGGTTATTTAGTAAGCCCAGGAAAAGAGCAAATCCTGCCCCCAACAGATGATCCTCTCGATGAGAGTGGTTATGGTGATGATGCCAGCATGCAGTGGGGAGATTCGACTTTTCGAGATTCTTCCAGCCCTTTGCTTCCCACATTTCATAATGCTTGATGGCAACAGCTCTGCTGACTGTTTGGGAAAAAGACAATACTTATGTCCCTTTTAGAGACACTTTACTCAGTCCCTCCCGCAATGCTTAGTACGCAGAGAAAATAGTAAAATTAACCCGATTTGCTCATCACTCAGTTTTGGCCGTTATCAACTAATGGCCACTCTAGTTTCTACTGGGGTCCCATATACTCTGCCTGTCCCCTGATTATTTAGGTGCTAATCCCAACATTGTATCCTTTTGATGCGTTCCAAAGCAAAAATATTGATTCCTAAGCTACCCTTGTGAATTTTCTGATTCAGGAGGTCAGGAATGGGGCCTGGGAATCTACACGTATTTTCGATTCTCCAGGTCTGGGAACCTACAGTATAAAGGAATGAGCATGGACTTTAAGAAAGTCTGAGTTTGAGTCTTGGTTTTGCCCAAGCCTTATAACTTTGGACGAAAACTTTAAGTTTTTGGACCTTGACCTCTTTGTCTTGAAGGATCACCAACTCTGTGAACTTGTGGTCCACTAAGACCCTCCAACATTTTTCACATTAAATACATGCTATCAATCTTGTGTCTCTCAGCCTTCCCCTGCCTTGGTGTTAGGCTGGGGGTGGCGGCAGCAGGATTGCTTGTGAGTTATCCTCTTTTGTGGTGGTTGCGTCCACAAGATCTCTCCAAGCTGTGTTCCCTGTCTCCCATGTGGTGTGTCCCAACACTGTGTCCCCTTTAGTCCCATTCAAGCTTCCCTCACTCTATTTGCTCCAACCCACTGTGCCCAGCTCCCTGGGAAACTGATGGGCAGAACCTATCCCTAAACAGCATTCTTCAATCACAAAATTCTTGCACCTAGAGTAAAACTGACATTTGATTCAGGTCAGTGATCGTTTTTTCCAACCAAAACCAAATCCTAATTTCCGTGGTTGGCATGCATGCAGTCATTTGGTGCTTATGAAAAAGAAAGCAGGCTTCACTGAATTGCAAAAACAAGAACTTTGCTGGCTTTTGGTGTGCTCAGCATTTTTCTGAATGAAGATGGCAACTCACAGTGAATACACATTTTTTTTTCTGGTTATTTAATTAAATGGAGTTCAGAGGGAAGGAACATAAATAAATAAGACAAGCAAATTGGGACGCACATTTGAACTAGAATGAGAAAAGAGCGGTTTCCTGAGGCGGAACACCTTCACAATGGAGCACAGCTTTATTTAGTACAACACTGCCCCTGCAAATTGTGTCCTCAGTTGTTTTGGGGAGTTGAATGTAACTTGTGCTTTCACAGCGACAACTAATAGCAAAGAAAGGCCCTAGGAAATGCAGGACTGCAAGAGACTGACTTACAGTGGGAATTTGGGAAGCCATGTGTTAGAACAAAAAGGAACTGCAACCACCTCACTGTATGCCTGAGAAACAGAAGCTGAGATCTCATTATTTGCTCAAAGCTGCATGGCCAGTTGGCAGAGGAGCACAAACCAGCACTCTGGGTTACTGACCAGTGCTCTTTCCATGGAGAGGTTTAGGTGGTGGTTAGAAGCACAGACACCAGGACAGACTGCCTGGGTTCACACCCCAGCTCTGTCCCTTCCTGGCTGGATGATCTTGTGCAAAAGAGTTAAATCCCATAGGGGCCACATCAGCCAGAGTTTCAGTAGGAAACAGATGGAACACCAAATTAGGGTCGTTGGAAGGGGTATTTATAAATGATCATTTCAAAGATGTGGGTGGAGCATGGGGAAAACACAGGCGCCAGTGCAGGGACACAGGACCAGCAGTGTTAGAGCTGTCCCCAGCACTGGGCCAGAAGGAACAAGGGGAGAGAGAGGCTGCAGAGCCTTGTTCTGAAAGCAGCTGTGTCCTCAGGTGGGGGAACCCAGACAGTCACCGTCATCTTGTAGGGAGGAAACCAGGGTAACGGGTGCACGTCCTCACTCTCCCTTCTCTCCCTCCATTCTCCTGATGAGGCTCCTTACTGGCTAAACCCAACTAAAAGCACAGAACACAGAAGCTTGTCTGTGTGGTCTAGCTAGACCTGGCTCCTGGGGTGGAGAGCATGCCAGAGGAGGGGGGGCAAATGGATCTGTGGGAGCAAATATAACTAGCTGGCACAGGGCCTCCATTTCCTCATCTTAAAATGGAATCATAATGGAGCCCACTCATAGTTTGTTGTGAAGATTGATAACTGAATAGATGAATAGCTGCAAAGTGCTTAGAATAGTGCCATATATATATATAGTGTTTATCATACATATACACATTATTATAGTGCTTACTACATAACTACCATAGTGCTTACCATAGATATGTAATATATAGTAAGCATATACACAGTATGCAGATATATAAGAGTATAGTAATCATATAGCAAGCACTATATTACTACATACATAATATACATAGCAAGCATATACATATATAATAGTTTAATGTATTATGATATTGTAAACTTTCCCCATTTGCCTTTCTTGGCACTTGCACTACATATGGAAGACCCCTCTATGGTCTGAGTTGAGCATCTGGTAAACTCTTTATTACCCCGTCACTAATATTTATGAACTCAATTTACCTTATCATGCATTTTGAGTAGGAAAGTAAATATTTGTCTGCCCCTGAGCTAAAATTGATTAAACAACTTGGGGCTGGGCACCATGGCTCATGCCTGTAATTCTAGCACTTTCGGAGATGGAGGCAGGCGGATCTCTTTAGGTCAGGAGTTCAAGATCAGCCTGACCAACATGGCGAAACCCTGTCTCTACCGAAAATACAAAAAAAATTAGCCAGCGTGGTGGCGCATGCCTGTAATCCCAGCTACTTGGGAGGCTGAGACATGAGAGTCATTTGAAGCCGGAAGGCAGAGGTTGCAGTGAGCCGAGATCACAACACTGCACTCCAGCCTGAGTGACAGAGCAAGACTCTGTCTCACACACACACACACTCACACACAAAGTGATTTTTTTCCTGTTGATAACACGACCACAGCACACCAGTGTTCTCCTTGTGCAAGCCTCAAAATGATCATCATGATAACGTTCTAGCTCATATAACAAACTTCAGGACTGAAAGCTTTTGATTCAATATTCTGGCATGGTGCTGAATGATTCCTGCAGTTATTGAAGAGGTCCATGCCTGCCATTCTTTTCTTTAGCTCTATTAATTTACATATATGTCAAACGATAACTTCATTTGATGTATCCAACTGACCTTTATTTCAGGATTGTTATGAATTTTTACTTCATTTATGAAATATACAACAAATCATTTTTAAAAGTAATATATATACACACATACACATATATAGGAAGCACTACACTTATTAAAGTCAGCTATTGTTATCAGCTAAGAGGACGTGATGAGTATTCCAGTCGGAGGAGACACAGAGAAGGGCTTCATGACCCAAGTGCTGGCAACAATTCCTTAAGGAAACGTCGTTCCTTCCCCCACAGCTCACTCCTGCCTTCTCTGGAAGTTCCAAAATCTACGCCAAAGGTACACAAAGACCAAAGAGGAGGCTGAGCACATCGCTAAGCCTGAAGCTGGGGAAAAAGCTTCCTCCCACCCTTTGCTCGTCAGCAGCCCAAGGACAAGGACTTTCACCTGTGAGGACAACCTGGCTTCCCCCTAGAAGACAGGCTGATCCCCTTGTCCGGGAAGTTTTAAGACAGAGTTGATGCCATGCCTCTGTGAGATGTTCTGAGGCTCTGGAGAGAAACAAATGTGCCACCTGTCTACCTGAGAATGAAGACAGGCTCGCCACGCCTGGGGTCTCTGCACCTCTTGACTGCACGGGTGGCAGGAGGAGACTGCAGAAACCAGGGGTGACCCGATGGGATGGAGGCTGCCTCAGCTCCGAGGTGGGGCAGTCTGTGGGCCTTTCTTATTCCTAGTCCCAGGTGGGGAGAGCATGAATGCGGAGAGACCATCTGCCAATTACACTTCATCTGAGCCCACGGCAGACCCGCTGTGGCTTCACCGGCTGGGGAGTAAGAATCAGATCAGGCAATCTTCAGTCCCACCCCTTCCCAGCCCTGGCATTGCAGAAGACATCTCCTTTGCTGGCTTAAACAGGCAGTGGTTCTTAGGATCTAGAGAGATGGGAAAATAACATGTTGGCAGTGACAGTTCTAAGGAGCTGGAGCTGCACAGTGTGGGAGGCCCTGGGGAAGAAGAGGACCTTGGAGAGCCCCCATCGGCCCATCACTCTCCACCCGACCTCTGCCTGCTCAGGCCTCCCGTGTGGGGCCACCCCAGGGCCCTGGGTGGAGCCCCCGGTGCTGTACACCTATTCATCTGTTCATAATACAGCCAGTAGTCAGTGCACAGCTGCCACACAGAGCATTAGAGGAAAGTAAGCTTTTCTTCTCCCCATAGCCACAGGCAGCTGCTCATGGTCCCAGACAGGAAAAAGAGCAAGACACAAAATTGTATGTTCACATCATTCAAATGTTGCAAAAAAATAAAAGGTATACGCGCCTGTCTGTTTAGGAGAAAGGTCACTAATCAGGGGTCTCTCTGGGTGGAGAAACAGCAGGTAGTTTTGATTCTCTTCCTTGTGCTTTGCATACTTAAATTTTTTCCATGTTGATTCTGAGTTATGTGAATATTTAGAAAATGTGAGCCTTCCTCTGACTACCAAGGTAGCTCTTCTGAACCTTCTCCAAGAGGCAAATATCTCAACAGCAAGGAACTTTTCCCCTCCTCCCACTCTTTGAGTCATGGAAAAATACCTTCCAGAAATAACAGAAGGCTGGTTGTCATTTAATCCTAACAACATCATTGCTCTGCCTCCCCACGGTCCAAGCCGAAGCCCAAAGGCAGCGTTGTCCAGCACAGCACCTCATCTGCAAAACCAGAGACAACATTATGTGGCCAAAATATCAAAAGCTTTGACAGTCTTCTTCCTTTACTATGTGAGCCCTGGTGTCATTGGGGCACACAGCCACCTGACTGCAGGTTCTCTGGTCACCCTTGCAGCCAGATGTGAGATGATGACCAAGCTCAGACAATCCAATGGGAGCAACAGCAATCTCATTAAAGCTCATATTATTCACAATAAGGCCATTTGCTTGGAGTTTTTCCCACAAGGACACCGGTATTCTAAGGACCCAGCTTCACCTGTGCAGATGAGGACAATACCTTAAGATGTCACAAAGCCATACAACAGAAGAAAGTCAGATGTCTGAAATGACGTGACATTGTGGAGCAGAGCCACTCCACTTTCATGGGCCTCTGATCTCCAGTCTATTACATGAAAGAGAAATAAGCTTCCATCTTATCTAACTCACTGGTCTTTGGATGTCTGTGTCACAGCAGCTTAGCCTGTGCTTAAGTAATGCAGCAAGCTCATCTTGGTTTTACATTCCCTCTCTGTAATTTACTAATGGTATGATCTGGGGCAGATCACTTAACCATTCTGGGCTTAATTTCCTCCTTTGGTAAAATGGAAGCATCACTATCTAACTTGAAGGGTTGAGAGAATTAGAATGATGCACGTAAAATACCTCATACAGAGCCAGGCTCACAGTGCATGGCCCGCAGCATTATATTTTAAGAATGATTTCTCAGATAATCATAACCAGAGAATCTTTTGCCTGCTCAGCTTCTATGACCATCCAATTCTCCTTTTTGCAGAAAACTCACCTTTCTAGAGAAGTATGTGGCAGTCAGCCCTATCCACCTCTCCATTCTCCCTTCTTCCCTCACATCGCCATGTTTTGGCTGCTACCTCATTCTTGTTCTTAGATAAAGTCATCACCTTTATCCCATCCATATGCAAAGTCTTTCCCCACTTCATCTTCTTCCAGCCTCTGTCCATGTAGAATCCTTGGTCTTTCTCCTGTAGAAATGTCTTCTCAGCCACTCCCTGACCAGCCCTTTTTGCCCCTCTTGCTAGCTTAACACCTGAGCCTGCTCCCTTCTGCCAGCTGCATCCCTTCTGGCTTTTGTCTTCACCGAGTTCTTCTTCCTCATCCTCACTTCCTTAGCTCAACTCAGATCCCCTTAACTGGAAGATACAGATGCAAAGCTACCAGGCTACGAAGCTATGTGCCTGTAAGCTGCCCTTTCTTTCTCTGCCTTCATAGGCAGAAGAAAGTCAAGGTCAAAGATGGAGGTGCTGGGTCAGCTAGGCATGCTTCAAATCCTGGCTCTGCCACATTTAGCAACAGGGCTTGGTTCTAGTTACCCAGCCTCTCCATGCCTCAGTTTCCTCATCTGTAATACAAGGGAAGATGACTGACAGGATCTTCTTCATAAGATTGCTGTGAAGCTTAAAAGATAGTGTGCATTAAAATACTTAGAGCACTCCTTGGCACCCAGGGAGTACTCAGTAGATTTTAGCTGATCTTACTAGCATTTTTCCTGTCCCCCAGTCCCCAGTAGGCTAGTTCCTACTATAGCAGTGGGAAGTGCAGTGAAAATCTAGAGCTTTTAGAAAACCTGTAGCTTGGGCAAGCAGCCCCAACTCTGAGGGTTGCATCTCAGGGAAGATTCTTGGGCAGAATCAATCTGCCTAATGCTCACCTCGCAGCCTAAAAATCTCCCTCTTCTCTCCTCCCTCCCTCCCACTCCACTTCACTGCTTTCATGTTGTATGACTTCAGATTCACCAGTTATAGATTTCTCTTGGCTGACAAGTGTCCTCCCAGAATGCAAACCCTTCTGGAAGAAGAACCAGAGTGACTGATCATTTCTACACAATAGAAGTCCTTTCCTTCTCGAGAATGTTCAGCTCATCTGCAGGACTGCCTGGAGCTTGACAAGCAGGGCAGAGAGAGCAGGGGAGTGAGTCTCAGCAGGAGCGCAGACAGACGTGGGGGAGAAGTTGCAGCAAAAGCCTAAGGTTGGCTCAGATGAGGGTCATGGAGGAGTGGAGGATGGACACCAGGAAGTGAGAGAGGGTGCAGAGGCCAGAGACAAACTCACTGATGTCAAAATGCTGCTGAAAATGTGGTTGCCTTAAGGAATTGGAAAGGAAAAGACTTCACATGGAAGGAACAGTTGTAAATAAAGTGTCTTGACCCACAGACTCCAGCCTGGGTTCCCTCTCCCTTGTGCACCCCAACCGCTTCCCTCAGCCCTATCCTCTCCCACTATGACCCTCCCGGTTTGAAACCCACTTTCTATGTGGCTGCCTCCTGCCCCCCATGTGTTTTTCACTCTCTTTTAGTTACTAGAATCAGCTTCAGCTTCAGAATTTGCCCTGGTTTCTACGCCAACTCTCAGATGCTAATTCTACTACCAGTCTTTTTTTTTTTTTTTTTTGAGACAGGGTCTCCCTCTGTTGCCCAGGCTGGACTGCAGTGGTGCAATCTCAGCTCACTGCAACCACTGCCTCCCAGGTTCAAGCGATTCTCCTGCCTCAGCCTCCTGAGTAGCTGGGATTACAGGCGCACGACACCACAGCCCGGCTAATTTTTGTATTTTTTTTTAGGAGAGAACGGGTTTCACCATATTGGTCAGGCTAGTCTTGAACTCTTGACCTCAGGTAATCAGCCTGCCTCAGCCTCCCAAAGTGCTGGGATTACAGGTGTGAGCCACCGTGCCCGGCCTCTACTACCAGTCTTCATACTGGGACTTCCTCTTGGTCATTCTGTTTACTCCTCTCAACTCCCAGCAACTCTGGGAGTCAACTGCACCTGCCAAGCCATCTTCATGGTGCTAAGGGCCATTCTGCTTCTGCCCCAACCAGCCTGTCCAGCTAAGGCCCTGTCCTGGGCACCACTCTCAGCCTGACCTCTGTCTGGACACTGACGTGGAGGGGTCTGTGTCCCAGGAAAAGGGTGGGAGTAGGGCATCCTCTTCCTCCTCATCCTTCTTTTTCTTAACCTAAATAGCATCTGCCACCCAGGACCCAGGACTCTGGCTGGTTCTGTAAATACTTTTGCCCAGTTACATTAGAGCTTAGGTGAATTGGACTATTATTATTACTCTGACCAGTGGAGTTTACCACTAAGCAGAACACTATTTCTTTAGGGAAATAATGCAAGTTCCCAACAAACAAAATGAACTTTTGAGAAGCCACCTGTGCAAAATGAACTTTTGAAAAACTCTCCACGTGCTTATTTACAAGGAGATTAAGAAGAAGTGATATCATTTGATGGGCCTTGGTATTATTTTTGTCCTCACTTAGTGTTCAATTAGCATTCAAGCCACATAATAACTTCACCCAACACCAGAAGCTGAAATATAAATACCACTCAAGCAAGGTTATTTAGATCCTCAATTGGATCGACCCAATCTGAGCCAATTATTTTTCTGGCAGAGTTAACTACAATGTGTCTAAAATGAGTGAGATGTGAAAGGCAACTTTCCATTACTTGTTCCTTTAACAGTTGCCTTAAAGCTGGAGTCTTGTCCTTAATTCCACATTACAAGTACTTTCTAGACAGGGGCACACCTACATGGAGCCATTTAAAATCAAGCCAAATGGTGTTCCTCCTCATTTCAGCTGAAATATTCAATTGAGAAAAAAAGTTAATCACAGGTATGTAGGAAGAATTACAAAAGGGAACTAGAAGCCCTGGAGAAGAAATTGGAACTTGGGGAAAAGAGCAGGAATAGATCTCTATGGATCTCAACTTTCCTCTCTGAATATAGGCTGGCCTGGAGCTTTTGAATACATCCAGCTTTCCATCTCAGATCTAGTTTATTGTTTGACATTGGGGTCCACCACCCAACAAGAGCATGTCGCCTTTCACGGTCCTCAGTTCTGCCACCTGTGAAATGGGAATATGCCCTCGTTTGCAGTTTGTGGTTTATGTTGTTCTGACCTTGGATAAATTGTTGTTGTTATTTTGATAAATAAACACATAAGAACTTGCTTTCAGGGCAAACAACTTGTAAGTGATTACTTAAAGAAGAAAAGTAAAATGAATAAAACAAAAGGCAAGATTGATGACCAATCTGCTCTTGAACTAGAAAACACATAAAGCATATGCTAGCAAGGGGCTTCCTCATGTCTCACCAGGCTTTGTGTTGCAGGAACTGGATGACAAAAAGAAGAGCCGATATAACCAGGAACCTACTCTGGCCACCCCAAGTAAGGATCTAAAGTCCAGCCTCCTCCTCCACTGCCCTCAAGGCCTTTCCTCATGAAAGCAGAGGTTCTGAATGCTGATTTCTGTTTTAAAGCCCAATAACTCTTTAAACATCTTGTGTGTGTGGTGTGTGTGTGTGTGTGTAGGGGGAAGGGAAGGAGACTGGGGTAGATAGCTCCAGGAGATATAAAGAAAACAGCAAAATAGCCAGCATATTCCCTGCCTTCCAGGTGCTCCGCATCAAGACTCAGCTGCAGAGATGACTTCAGTGCAAGTCACATACACACCATTGGGCTGGTACCCGTGGCAGCTCTGCAGGGCTTCCATATGTGAGTGCCTGGGACCAAGCCGCAATGGTCAGGAGGGACTTCCTAGAGGAGGAGAACTTCCAACAGATTTAGAAGAGAGGGGTCACTTAGGGCGGAAGTTCAGGCTCTCTTTCAACAAAACTCCATGGCTTCCTGGTAGTAGCAAGATTCTTTAAAAATGCAGTGCAGTGCTGGTTCAGGCCCCAGCTCCCCACCTGTAGACATGAGACCCTGATCCAGATGTACATCCTCTGAGCCCTTCCTTGTTGCAAGCAGGTGCACCTTTGCATCTCTGCCATGTGGCTGTGACGCCAACCTGATGTGATTTCTCTTGGTCTTAAGGACCTATTCCTGACCCCACTTCCTCTCCAGCTCCTGCCCCCATTTTTCCTCTCCCTTTACAGCAGAACTACTGAAAAGAGGAGGCAATGCCTGCTGTCTCTGCTTACCTCCTCCTACTTTCTAGTGAACTCACTCAGTCAGGCATTTGTCCTTACCACCCCAAGGTCACTGGTGACTCACACCCTCTGCCGCTCCTCAGAACACCTTCCCCTGGGTGCTCATCAGCATGTGGGGCCCCTTGCTGGGCCTCAGGGATGTCACCTGGCTGGGCTCCCCTCCCATTTCTCTGGCCATTGCTTCTCAGACTGTCTTGCTGATTCAGTCTTGTCTCCCCAAACCCCAGGTGTTGCCAAGCCCTCGACTCAGACCTTGGGCCTTTCCTCCTTTTGGTCCAGCCTCACTCACTAAATGATCTCTTGCCAAATCATGATTTCCAAAACGATCTCTATGCTCATGACTTCCAAATGTGCATCTCCTGCACAGACCTTTCCCTGACCTCTTGACCCATTGCCCAAACTGCCTGCTTCCCCGTTCCCCTTGGATGGCGATGGGTCACCTCAAACTTCACAAGATCCAAACTAAGATCCTGATATTCCCTTCTCAAATGAGCACTTGGGCAGCCTTTCTTTTCTCTGTTAACTCAGCTCTTCCAGTGACTCAGCAAAACCTGTGGAGCCGTTCTTGATGCTTCTCTTTGAGTCATTCCTCACATCTGGTCCATCTGTATGGCCAGAGAACTCCACCTTTAGAATATATCCAGAATTTGACCACTACCACCATCTGGAAGCAAGCCTCTTGGATCATTGCAAGAACTCCCTAAGTGATCTCCCCACTTCTGCCCTTCCCATCAGGCCACCCCCACAACACCCAACCTATCACAGCCCCACAGGAGAGGGATTCTGCTGGCGTGTAACCACTGCACTGGGTCTCCATCTCACTTAGAGAGAAAATGCCTGCACTTATAATGGCTTCAAATTCCTTATGAAATCGATCCTCTTTGACTCTGCGCCCCTCGCCCCCATTGCTTCTTTGAACTCATTCGCATCCCCAGCACTTTCATTCTGCTCCAGGCACCCTGGCTTCCTCCAGGCACATGCCAGGTGCTCTCTGCCTCAGGCCTGTGCACCTGCTGTTAGCTTCGCCCCAGTTGCTCTCCCACCAGCTGGCCCCGTGGCTTTCTCCCTCATCACTTCCCATCTTTTCCCAAAATTCACCTTTTGGCTACCCGATCTAAAATTCCCCATCACGCCCACATCTCACAGTTTCATTCCTTGCTTATTTTCCTGCTAACACTTACCCCTACTGACCTTCCGTAAGTGTTTTCTTCCTTGAGGATTTACTGTCTGTCTCTCTCCTCTGGTGAATAAGTTTGGGGAGGGCAGGAAGTTTTGTCTGGTTATTCAACACTCTCTGTAAGTGGTGACCACCTGAAGCCAGGGGGCCTTTGGATGCTGAGCAGATATGGCAGGCACAGAATGGGAATGACCTTTGTATTGGTCCGTTCTTGCATTGCTATGCAGAAATACCTGAGACTAATTTATAAAGAAAAGAGGCTTAATTGGCTTATGGTTCTGCAGGCTGTACAGGAAACATGGCTTCTGGGGAGGCCTCAGGAAGTTTTTACTCTTGGTGGAAGGCAAAGCGGGAGCTTGCAGCTCACATGGTGAAAGCGGGACCAATTGAGAGAATGGGGTGGGGGAGGTGCCACACACTTTTAAACGACCAGATTTCGTGAGAATTCACTATCACAAACATAGCACCAAGCCCGGGATCTGCCCCCATGACCGAAACACCTGCCACCAGACCCCACCTTCAGCATTGGGGATTACAATTCAACTCGAGATTTGGGTAGGGACACAGATCCAAACAATATTAACCTTCCATGGCGGAACCTCAAGGGAAGGTGACTGCCTAGATCAGTGCCCAGCACACAAAATAACTGCTCAGTAAAAAAAATGTGTCAAATGAATGAGTGAATAAATAAATGAACAAGTAAAAGAATAAATCGAAGAATGAATGGTGATGAGGAGATGTTTATTAAGGAGCCAAATTCAGAACAAATCCTCAAAAACTGTTAGTTTCTCCTATCCTTTCCGTTGGTCACTTGGGAAGAGACCTGGAGCTTTATGTGGCTGAGTTGTCACCGTGATTTGGATCAGGACAGTTCACAGATAGCCACCCTAGGCTCTAGGAGTGCCCTACAGCCCCTGCCCTGCTGCCTAGGTATTCTCATGGGCTCTCTGCAACCAGAGAAGAGCAAACTCTCTGGTGGTGATCGGTGAAGGGGCGATTGCTCACCCACACCTTAGTGAGCGCACATTTCTTGGCTCCGTAGTGGTCATGGATTTGGATGGTGAGAAGAGCTGAGACAGACGGCACAGGTTCTCAGGATGCTTGAGGCAGGTGAGACCATGCCATGGGTAGAACGCGGGTGGTGGGGCCCAGGCAATAACTCTGCACAGGTCACTTCTTGCTTGTGCTCGGCCTGCTCTACTCTCCCAGGAGGAAGAGCTGCGCAGTCCCCATCCTCTAAAGGTGAGACATGGTATCTCTCCTACCACCAGAACATCAACATCAGCTCGCCTTGACCTGTCCCACAGGGAGGCTGTGTTCCACCTCCCTCGGAGAGTCTCAGGCAGAATGTCTCCCCACTTCTATGCCTGGATCCAGGCATAGAAGCCCACCTTCTCCAGGGATGACTACCTCTACATATTTACTCCTAAAGCAACCTGCTCATGCCCTTATGACACCGACCTGCTTCCCTCACTAGGCTGAGCTCCACGAGCAGAGACCAGGCTGATGCATGCTCCACATCTTGCATGCTTTGCTTAAAGAATGAGCGAAAGGAGTAAATGAAATTGGTTCTTTCAAAGCAACAAGAACATTTGTGACATATCTGCTAAGGTGGTGAGGGACAAAGATGAAGGACTGCAGAGCTGTCTCATAGGCTCCTTTGAGCAAAGCATTCCTCCTCCAGGTAAAGTGACAAATGAATTTGCTCAGACAACACTCTGCCTCCCGTGTTTTCCCATAAAGTCCTCTTCACTGAAACCATTTAGCATCGTACATCTATCCTACAAGAAGGCATCCTACCAGAGCATTCTATGATGCCCACACAGAGAACAGTTGCCACAGTAATGGGCAGGAAATATATGCATGGGGACAGCTCCCAGGGATTGCTGGTAAATATTTATAGAATGGAGCAGCTAGCATAGCACAATTGTTGGCTGAATTAATATGGAGAGCTGGAATCTCCAGATAGCACTGGGTGGAGAGGATGCTGACTGTCAAGCCAGAGCTCCCCTCCAACTCCCCGGGGATGTTTCCTGTGTGATGCCAACACAAGAGTGCCCCCTATTCCAGTTTCATGGTGCCCGGTGAGGAATGGCCCTGCTCCAGCCCAGGAAGAATTCCCACTCCGCCACTATCTCTTGCTGCCAAGAAGTTACCTGTGACTTTCAGCTGAATCTGAGGTCCAACTGAGGTGTTGTGCCCTAGAGAGAACCTACCCTTTAAAGAAGTCACGTGCCTCCCATATCTGTGCAGGGATTGGCCAGTGCTTGTCCATCAGAGCACTGGGAACAGTTGCTCCAGAGGCATGAAACCAGGAAGCCAGGTTTAAGCAAACTTTTAGGCAAAGCCTCCTTAGATGGCTGGCAGTGGGTCGTGTTTCACTTTTCTCATAGACATGCTGACTCAGAAGCCTAGAACTGGCAAGGGCTGTGCCATCTACACCACTGGGGCGAGCTCTATCCTCTTCTCCCAGGAGGGGAGGCCCAGGGCTGTCCAGAGTGCCCAAGAAGGGCACAAGATAGTGGAAGAGCTGCGAAGGGAAACTCATCGTCACTCACTCGGTTGGCATCCTTCCACTCTACAAACTCCACACATGGCCCTACAGGGAAACTGTGCGTGTGGGATGTGTGTGTGTGTGTGTTTGGGAGTGTTGTGTATGTTATGTGTTATATATGTGTGTGCATGTGTGTGTCAAGTGTATGTGTATTGTGTATATGTGTGTTTGTGTATATGTGTTTGTGTATATGTGTGCATGTATGTGTGGTATGAGTTATGTGTTCATGTGTGTTGTGTGTTTGTGTTATATGTATATGTATGTTGTGTTGCATGTAGGTAGTGTGTGTTGTATGTGTCATGTGTGGAACTTGTGTTTATGTATATGTTGTATATATTGTGTGTGTTGTGTGTATGTGTACATGTGTGTTTTGTGCATGTGTGTAGTGTTATGTGTGTGGTGTTTGTTTCCATTTGGAAACTCAGGGATAGGAATTGTGCCCTGCCTAGGAAGCTGCCCCAAGCCCACAGAGGGTCCACGACTCTTTCCTCCACCTTGGCCTGTACATTACTTTGCTCATGCTTAGAATAACAATTACCTGTGTATACATCTGTCTCCACTACTGGACAACAGCCAGCCCTGTGCCAGCCCAGAGAGGGCACTCAAAAAGGCCTGCCAAGATACATCAAGCCACTCCTTCAATTGGC
Organism: Homo sapiens; assembly: GCF_000001405.40. Lineage (NCBI taxonomy): Eukaryota > Metazoa > Chordata > Mammalia > Primates > Hominidae > Homo > Homo sapiens. The sequence goes on along the minus strand of NC_000001.11, from coordinate 229,870,521 downwards.
CTTCAAAGCCTGTCATGATTTAGCATGAACTCACTTTTCCACCTTGTCTCCCATTTTCATTACAAACTGTCATGCCAAGCGGAACTCTTTAGTATTCCTTGAGAAGAACCCTCTAATTTCCACCTCTGCCTCTTTGTTAACCCTCCCTTTCTGTTTCCTGAATTCCTCCCAGGTCTCAAAGACAAGCTTGTATGCTCCCCATCCATGGGCCCTCTGGGTCTCCTGCCTGACTGCTGTCTCCCTAACCTCCAGATGCCCTCTGTCAACTAGCCTTGGCACCCAGTGAAAACAGTGCCATCTCTGAGAATCCCTCCTGAAATTTCTAGTATACAGAGTCACAAGTTCCCTTTTCGTATCAATCACTATTTTCTCCGTCAGGAGCCAGGTCCTTTGTGCCTCTGCCATGCAGTGTCCTGCCTTACCTAATCAGTGAATCCCAAATTGCAGGTTGATTGAGAATCATCCAGGGAGATGGGGGAAATTCTGCCTTCACAAAGTTTCAGGTGAGGCCCAGAAATGTGAATCTGCCCTGCGAGTCCAAGAGACTTTCATGCAAATGGTTCAGGATCTCACTTTGAAAACAGCATCCCAAGTACTGAATAAGTGTTTGCTGATGGACAGATTTATGAGGACCACACCCTCTCTGATTTCCTTTTCAACTTGCTTGCCCAGAGCCCTTTCTCCATGTCTCAGTCAGATCCTTGGAGTCTCATTTCGAGGCAGACGTACTAAAAGCAAATAATGAAAACGTGTTCTGCAGAGACCCCTCCCCTCTGCACAGCTGTCTTGCAGCTCTCTGGGTGGCAGAGGCCCCATAGCTGAGAACCTCTCTGTGGGCTGCAATCCTTACCATTGAACATTCTTCTCTGGCTCTCAATTCTCTTTCTCCACCTTTCCACAGGCTCCTGTTGTTCAGTCTACAAATATGCCTACAATTTCTACAGCCTCAGTCCAGCTTCAGCCTCAAACTAGCACTTGGCTGCTTTCTTTCTTCCCTGCCTGAGTTTTTGACAGAGTGACCTGAATTCACCTCTCCTCTGCTTCCTTGCCTCCCATCGTGATCTCCCTGAGTCAGATTGGTTCCAAAGCTGTTTTCTCAGAGTTTGTCTGTGGGTTGGTTGCCCCCAGCTGGGAGTACCAAGGCTAAGGGATGATGGTCACAGCAGAGCTGTGCACATGTGTATATTTACCACACCAGTGGCCAGGCAGATGGCTGTAGGGGGTCCAGTTCCAATTACATCACTGAATTATAATGATTCCCCACCAGTGGAACATGAGGCTTCTGAGGAGGGTGTCTCTTTCTAGTTTGTATGAAGCTGCTGGAAAGGCCCAGGCACAGTGAACTCCAGATCCCCAGAGCCATGGCCCCACCCTCTGTCCTCATCAAATGGGAGTTGTCACCAGTGTCTGCCCCCCTCAACACTACATCCTCCTGAGTTTAAGAGTTACAAGTATTCAATAATGTTGGGCTGATTCTTCCCCATCTCTGCTACTGGTTTCTCTCCTTTCTGCTCCCTCAGTTTGGGTCATTCTGAGGGGGTCCCACCACCTCCCTCTCCTCCTACTGCACGCACTTCCCCTGGGCCCCTTCATCCCAGCCCGTGGCTTCACTCTGCACTGCACATAATGAGTGACATCGTCACCTTTGCATTTCTCCAGCATGAGAGTTACTGTTGACCCTTGTACAATGCGGGAGCTCGGGGGTGCCGACCCTGCGCAGTAAAAAATTCATGTATAAATTTTAACTCCCCAAAAGCTTAACTACTAATGGGGTACAGTTGACCAGAAGCCTTACTGATAACATAAACAGTAAATTAACACATATTTTGTATGTTTTGTGTATTATATACTGTGTTCTTATAATAAAGTAATCTAGAGAAAAGAAAATACTACTAAGAAAATCATACGGAAAAGAAAATACATTTTTTATTAAGTGGAAGTGGAGCATTGTAAAGGTCTTCATCCTCATTGTGTTCATGTTGAGTAGGCTGAGGAGGAGGAAGGAGGAGCTGGTCTTGCTGTCTCAGGGGTAGCAGAGGTGAAAAAATAATCCCTATATAAGTGGACCTGGGCAGTTCAAACCCGTGTTGCTCAAAGGTCAACTGTACTATGAATATTTCAAAAAGGTTCTTAGAAATCTAAAACATCAGAGCCAAAAAGCACTTAGAGGTGACTTGGTGAGAACTGCTTTAGTTAAAGATAATAATGAAAGAAAATAATAATGTATAGTATGTTCCATGGACTGTCCTAAGCCCTTTCCATATATTAACTAATTTAATCCTCACACCAACCATCAGAAGAGGTGGTATTATTACCCCTACTTCACATTTGAGGGCCCTGAGGCCCAGAGGGGTTGAAAGGCCATGCCCAAGTTCTCTTAGGGAGTGTGTGGCAGAGCCAGGGTTCATGCCCAGGCAGCCTGGGTCCAGATTACAAGATGTTCAAGGTTAAAATCAAATTAACCACTTGGCGTAATCAAAATCCCACACAGTCCAGCCCCACTCACCTCCCCAGGTATTTGACAGACTGAGCCCAAACCTGCTTTCATCTTACCCACATTGACCTTTGTACTGCATCCCCTCTGGCTGGCCGCAGTGCCTTTGCACATGCTATTCTCTGCTTCAGGCAGTCATCCCCACCCACTTTCTTCTAGTCCACACCATTCGTCCTTGTGGTTTCTGCTGCTGAAGCTTTCCCTACTTTCTTAGGTTAGGGCAAAATTTCCTCTTACAGCCTGTAGTACCTTGCAGTTTCATATCTGTTGTGATAATTCAGCTAACATCAGCCTCTCACTACACTAGAAACTGCAGGAGGAAGGAATAAGGTCTGCTTGCTGCTGACTCTTCCCGGGCTGGCACAGCGCCTGGGCCATTGGTATCTGTGGGGGAAATAACTGGATGGCAGGACCCATGCCTCTCCTGAATCCCAACCTATGTTTTCCTGGGATTCTAGGCTTTTCCCCTCCATTACCGTTGAGGAAAATAGCCCTAGTAACCAGCAAAAAAGCCTGGTATTATATCTCCTGGGTATAGAAAAGACATCAGATGTTTTTCTCTCTGGTCTAAATTTCTTTTTATTCTCTCTGTAAATCTAGAAAAGTATTCACATTTCATTAAATTGATTCAGATTGAATCTAAATGAGGGTTAAATATAATTTTCTGAATGCTACCAACCTATAATTCCTGTGTCTAAATAAAAATAACCAACAGTTTAAAATGAGGTGATGGGTGAGATTTCATTTGGTGGTTTGAAGCCCTCTGAATTTGCTACAGATAATCAGATTTGCCACAGAAAGTATTTGTATGCTTTCTTTACTTGTGCTTAATATTGGCCCACTTTTTTTTTTTTCTTTGAGACAGGGTCTTGCCCAGGCTGGAGTGCAGTGGCACAAAGCTCACTGCAGCCTTGAACCTGTGGGCAAGTGATCCTTCTGCCTCAGCCTCCCAAGTAGCTGGGACTACAGGAATGCAACACCACAACCGGCCTTTTTTTTTTCATTTATAGGGATGGGTCTCAGCGTGTTGCCCAGGCTGGCCTCAAACTCCTAGCCTCAAATGATCCGCCCACCTCAGCCTCCTAAAATGCTGAGATTACAGGCATGAGCCACCCTGCCCAGCCTGGCCTGGTTCTTTTACAAAACATTCTAGATGTTTATGACTCACGTGTCTTTGGTACAAAAGAGGGGTGGGGGAAACAGGGTGTGTCCGGAATTGGTGGGTTCTTGCTCTCACTGACTTCAAGAATGAAGCCGCAGACCCTCACGGTGAGTGTTAACAGCTCTTAAGGTGGCGCGTCTGGAGTCTGTCCCTTCTGATGTTCAGATGTGTTGGGAGTTTCTTCCTTCTGGTGGGTTCGTGGTCTCGCTGGCTCAGGAGTGAAGCTGCAGACCTTCACAGTGAGTGTTACAGCTCTTAAGGTAGCACGTCTGGAGTTGTTCATTCCTCCCGGTGGGCTCATGGTCTTGCTGGGCTCAGGAGTGAAGCTGCAGATCTTCGCCGTGAGTGTTACAGCTCATAAAAGCAGCGTGGACCCGAAGAGTGAGCAGTAGCAAGATTTATTGCAAAGAGCGAAAGAACAAAGCTTCCACGGTGTGGAAGGGGACCCAAGAGGGTTGCCAATGCTGGCTCCGGCAACCCGCTTTTATTCTCTTACCTGGCCCCACCCACATCCTGCTGATTGGTAGAGCCGAGTGGCCTGTTTTGTCAGGGTGCTGATTGGTGTGTTTACAATCCCTGAGCTAGATACAAAGGTTCTCCACGTCCCCATCAGATTAGTTAGATACAGAGTTTCGACACACAGGTTCTCCAAGGCCCCACCAGAGCAGCTAGATACAGAGTGTCGATTGGTGCATTCACAAACCTTGAGCTAAACACAGGGTGCTGATTGGTGTGTTTACAAACCTTGAGCTAGATACAGAGTGCCGATTGGTGTATTTACAATCCTTGAGCTAGACATAAAGGTTCTCCACGTCCTCACCAGAGCAGCTAGATACAGAGTGTCGATTGGTGCACTCACAAACCTTGAGCTAAACACAGGGTGCTGATTGGTGTATTTACAATCCCTGAGCTACATGTAAAGACTCTCCACGTCCCCACCAGACTCAGGAGCCCAGCTGGCTTCACCCAGTGGATCCCGCACCAGGGCTGCGGGTGGAGCTGCCTGCCAGTCCTGCGCCGTGCGCTCGCATTCCTCAGCCCTTGGGTGGTCGATGGGACTGGGCACCGTGGAATAGAGGGTGGTGCTCGTCGGGGAAGCTCGGGCCGCACAGGAGCCCATGGAGTGGGTGGGAGGCTCAGGCATGGCGGGCTGCAGGTCCCGAGCCCTGCCCCGTGGGAAGGCAGCTAAGGCCCGGTGAGAAATCGAGCGCAGCGCCGGCAGGCTGGCACTGCTGGGGGACCCAGTACACCCTCCGCAGCCACTGGCCCGGGTGCTAAGCCCCTCACAGCCCGGGGCCGCAGGGCCGGCCGGCCGCTCCGAGTGCGGGGCCCGCCAAGCCACCCCACCCAGAACTCCAGCTGGCCGGCAAGCGCCGCGCACAACCCCAGTTCCTGCTCGCGCCTCTCCCTCCACACCTCCCTGCAAGCTGAGGGAGCCAGCTCTGGCCTTGGCCGGCCCAGAAACGGGCTCCCACAGTGCAGCGGCGGGCCGAAGGGCTCCTCAAGTGCCGCCAAAGTGGGAACCCAGGCAGAGGAGGCGCCGAGAGCGAGCGAGGGCTGTGAGGACTGCCAGCACGCTGTCACCTCTCAAGGGGATATGGGATGAGCCAGATACCCCAAAATATCTTCCTAAACTCCACAGAAGGGAGCGAGGCAGGGCAGAGGGCACCAAGGGAGGTGCCCCGTGAGATTCTGCACAGAGGGTTCGAATGACAGGGCCTTGCTGTGAAAGTCACCGAGTGCGCTTGTTTTTGTTTGGGTGGAAATCACTCAGAATAACATGGCTCGCTGCACTCAGATGCCAGCTCTTGGGATGATATTAAATCTCCCTACTGAATACAAAGTCTCCTGTTAAAAAGCAATCAAAATAATCCTCAGGAACAGGTGGACGATAAATTAATGAGCACAATCTTTTCCTTCAAATTGAGCTGGGGAAGAAATTAATTACTGGGCAAACCGGTAACAAAGAGGGATCCCCGCCTCCTGCAGCCTTGGAGCCCTCTGTGATTTTGTTCTCCCGAAATCTAATTTCCATGAAACACTTCAGGGAAGTGTGTATCGCAGCATAAGAATTTCTTAGCAGGCGTGCTAATATGAACGCCATAATTCCCCAGTAAGGAGATCTCGCTCTGCTCGAAAGGCCTGGGACTGACAAGGATGATATTTCAGAGAGGTCTGCAGTTCGTTCCCAGACACTGTTAATAACCACCATACAGATTAAATGAGGACTGAGCTGGTGGGACTGGACCCCCGGAAGGTGGATATAAATTTTATTTATAGGATAGATATGTACAAATACATAAAATCTTTATTTTCAGTGGCATAACTTCTATATCTGCCTAGAATACAAATACACTTTCCTGGGTGATCCAGTGTCCTTTGCAGAGAGTTTCTAAGGCAGAAGCCTTAGCAATGTCACCCTTGCAGCTATTTATAGGGCCCTGGCACTTGGTGGAAGCTGACTAATGGTGGCATGCCAAATGACACCGAGAACACTGCTGCTGGCCCTAAATCATCCTCTCATGAGTCCACACTCTGTGGCCCTTCTCCCTTCCCAGGCTGGGATGCCGCTTCTGTCTGGGGTTGGGCAGACACGGCCAGGACTCAGCCCCTGTTAAGGGGAAGGAGAAGGAGAGTAATGTTTGCCTGAGCCAGGTCCTGTATTAGGCTACTTACATTAAATCCTCTGGGCCACCTGGGAGGTTGGGCAACTGGCTTCCTTGGCTTGAACACGAAGAAAACAAGACTCAGAGGTTACATTTCTTCCCTCTGGGACAGACCACTGAGACCTGGCTAATAGCAGTGGGATATTCCCGACTCGGTGGCCTTCCTTTGTCCCTTACGCTTCTCACTGCTGTTCAGTGAGTAACACTTGATTTTCTTTATCCTGCTTGACTTTCAGTGAGCAGCTGGATCTCAGCTGGGAAGGAAACCTTGGAAGTGCTCCTAGGACCAGGGCTGGAGGAGCCAGCCGGCCCTGCCCTCCCTGTGGGAGATGCTGACCTCCTCCTAACCTCCCTTTCTGTTTCCAGCCTGTAAAGTGAGGGCGTGAATGCTTAATTTCCCAGGCTGGTGTGAGGAATCGATGGGACAACTCAGTAAACGGCTGACCCCTGCCTGGCACGGAGGTAGTGACAAGCCCTGCCAGGGTGGCCCGAGTGTCCCGGTGCTGGGCCCGCCACTGCCTCTTAGATGTTCTTTCATCTTGGACGTCTGAGAGGCAGTGAAATCGCTTCATTTCTCTGAGTCTCAGTTTCCTCATCTGTGATGTGACAATCACATCCTCTCATGACTTTACGTATAAATCAGTGAAAATGGTAGGTTATTAATTTTTAATTTGAAAAACAGAAATTTTTACAAATGCAAGCCCCATTCTACAATAGTGGGCCACATGGGACTCAAAAGTGATGGGACCCACCCTTAGACCCATTAGGATGGCTATTATAATAAACAAAACAAAATAGAAAACAACAAGTGTTGGTGAGGATATGGAGAAACTGGAACCTTTGTACCCTGTTGGTGGGAATGCAAAATGGTGCAGCCATTGTGGAAAATCACATGGTGGTTTCTCAAAAAATTAAGAATAGAATTGCCATGTGAGTATATTCCACTTCGGAGGATACACCTGAAAGAATTGAAAGCAGGGTGTCAAAGAGATACTTGTGCACCCATGTTCACAGCAGCACTATTCACAATAGTGAAAGGAAGGAGTAACCTACGTGTCCACTGGTGAAAGAAGGAACAAACAATACGTGCTCCACATACAATGGAACATTATTCAGCCTTAAAAAGAAGGAGATTCTGGCTGGGCGCGGTGGCTCACGCCTGTAATCCCAGCACTTTGGGAGGCTGTGGCGGGCAGATCCCCTGAGGTCAGGAGTTCCAAATCAGCCTGGCCAACATGGCAAAACCACATCTCTACTAAAAATATAAAAATTAGCTGGGCGTGGTGGCACACACTTGTAGTCCCAGCCACTCGGGAGGCTGAGGCAGGAGAATAGCTTCAACCTGGGAGGCAGAGGTTGCAGTGAACAGAGATCATGCCATTGCACTCCAGCCTGGGCAACAGAGTGAGACTCTGTCTATAAAAAAAAAAAAAAAGAAAGAAAAAAGAAAAAGAAAAGAAGGAGATTCCTGCAACATGGGTGAAACCTCAGGACATCATGCTCGGTGAAATCAGCCAGTCACATAAGAACAAGTAACAGTATGATTTCACTTATATGAGGTACCCAGAGAGTCAAATTCATAGAGACAGAAAGTGGAATCGTGGCTGCCAGGGTTGTGGGAGGGAGAATGTGGAGTTCGTGTTTAAGGAGTACAGAGTTTCAGTTTGGGACGATGACAGAGTTCTGGAAGATGGATGTGGTGAAGGCCGTGTAACAACGAGAAAGTACTTAATGTCACTGGACTGTTAAAAAAAATGGTTAAAATGGTAAATTGGTTAAAAAAAAAGAGGAGGGTTTTTAAAATGTTTCCCTTCCCACTCTGCCTTTGCCTGCTTCTCTCAGGCAGGGCCAGCTTAGCCATGAGAAGCTGACCCCTTCGACATCGACTGTCTTGTTTTAGACAAGAAGACTCAGAGAATAAACAGGCTTTGTCCGGGCAGTTTACATCGGTGGGAGGGAAGTGAGCTCAGGGCGGGCTTGCCTGAGCTGGAGTCCCTGCCGTGGCCTTCCTCAGCAGGCCTCAGCTTTCTCCCCGTTACACTGGGGGTGATGATAATGACACATCTCAGAGGTGGTGAGGTTTGAATGAGCGAACACACAAAACGTCTCACAGCCTGTGGCATGCATAAGCAACTCAATAAGTCTTAGCTATTAGTATTTTACATGTAAAAAGAGAGAAGGAAGGAACCACTTCTATTATTCCAGCTTACATGGAAAATAAAGTGGTCTGTGCAAGCAGCTTAATGCAGCTGCTGGCAAAATTTGGTTTGCCCTTCCAAAGTCAGCCCAGAGAGTCTGCTGGGGCACTCTCTGTGTAGCTGGTGGGACCTCTATATGCACAGGAAGGTCCACTGCACCCCAGATACCCCTTTCCCAAGGGGAGCCTCTGGAGCCTGCCTTACCTGGGAGGGAAAGACAGAGGAAGAATTATCTCTTCTCCCTGCCCCGTTAGTCTCGGGAAACTTCACAGGCTTGTGACAACCTGCTCCCCTTTCACCTCCCACTCCTCCTTGCCTGCCACAGGGGAGGATGAACTGAACTCAAAAAATGACTGTTCATGGCACAAAGCCTAATGTATTACTGGGGCCATATTCATGGCACCAGCATAATGACAGCCTCAGATCTAATCACATAAATATGAACGTTGAGATTTGGACAAATCATGACCTTGTTGCTGTGTTCCATCGCTAAATCCAGAAGAAAGTGTTCTACACTATAACTATGTAGGAAGCCGGGGTAAAACACCAAAGATCATTTAAACTGAGATGAAGCTGGCAGAAGCTTCTTAATGCTGCACGCAGTTGAGAGGTAGAGACTCAAATCACCCTTTAAGAGCTGATAGTGCCTGTGTTCTAAGAAACCCACCCTACATGAACAAGTGACCATTAACCACAAGTCAGAATCTGAGAGTTGGGTCTGGGGAAGCAGGTGTGGAGGGGTGACGAAGTGGGGTTGTCACTCTGCAGCCCTTGCTGATTTGATTTAAAAAAAAAAAAGAGTTTCAAGTGTATGTTTGGGTGGAGATGAAAATGTTCCTTCACAAACAGCTGCTCCAACAAATCAGAAACCAAAGCTGGGGGCCTGGAGTGGCCCCAGCTGAGCTGATTCATCCTAGACTGCCCTGACGGTCTATATGTGGAGTTATCTAAGACAAAACAGCCGGGACGTTGGCTGATGAAGAAGTGACCATTCGGCTGGAGACAGAGTCAACGCTTTCTCTAAAGCAAGAGCACATCCCTTAATCTCCTGCTAAATACTGTAAGGAGACATCAGCATAAGATTGGGGTTGAAGGCAGAGGCCCCTAGGTTAAACTCCTGCCTCTACCATTGGCTAGTTTATAATCTTGGGCAAATTTCTTAACCCCTGGAACCTCAGTTGGCTCATCTGGAAAATGGAGATGATATCTCTTTCTTACATGATAAAATGAGATAATTTTATGAAGTATCTAGCCCGATACCCAGGCTGAATCTGTCCTGGAGAAAGACGATTCTATGGCAGGACCTGGGAGGCTGTGGCCAGCAGCTCTGTGCACCATTCCAATCTTCGCGACCCACTCTTCCTCCAGCCGCTACTGTGCAAGCTTCAACCGGCTTCCAGCAGGTGTAAATAGGTGGCCCACATGGCCTATCTTGCCCAGGGCTGCTTTGAGGTGAGAAGTGGAGTGACCCAGGGAACCTCCTCTACACACACACACATACACACACACACACACACACACACACACACACACACAGAGAGAAGCACAGGGCGTTGCAACCCCTGGTCAGTGTCAGCCTCCCGTGGGAACGCAGCCTCAGCTGCCCATAGCTGTGGCATATGGAGACTGTGTCCCCGTGTGGCTTTCTCTCCTTCTCTTCTTCCCAGTCAGGCCCCCTCTCTGGCTCTGCTCCCTGGGATCACAGCTTGTACTGTGATAAGATTTAGTCCCAGGCTCTGCTTTCCAGGTGCCAGGCTGAGACATGGGATGAGTGGGGCAAGGGGAAACATTCCCCTTCTTTTGGCGTTCCATGGCTGCTACTAGACTTGGAAGGGCTCCAGCATGCTGGGACCCTCTAGGTGATGAAGGGAGGCTGCTCCTTAACCCTTGGAGGCCCTCAGAGCTTGGCAGGGCAGGGAAGAGAAGTCTCTGGTGGTTGCCATGCCTAGAAGCTCTTCATTCACCCCTAATATCCTGCTAAGTATTGTAAGGAGGCATCAGGGGAAGATTGAGGTTGAGGGCAGACGACCCTGGGTTAAAATCCTGCCTCTACCATTGGCTAGTTTATAACCTGGGGCAAATTTCTTAACCACCAGAAGCTTGGTGGGCTCATCTGGAAAACGGAGGTGATGTTCCTTTATTACAAGATAAAATGAGATAATTTTATGAAATATCTAGCCTGATACCGAGGAACTGCTTAAGAAGTGGTTATTGTTATGGCATTCTCTTTGACCTTGGCTTGTCTGTGTTACAGAGACTTAGTGAGTGACTATTAGATGTTGATGCTTCCTTTATTCTAGAAAATAACCTAAACAAGTAAGGCTCCAACACCATTGTTCTTGGAGAAAGCTGTAAAGTAACCATTGATCTAAAGAAAGATATTTTAGACTCAGAAACCAAGTAAGTTGTTTTGCTTTTATCTTTGCAATACAAATGGTTGGGCTTGGTGAAGTCAGAGCTCTTTTCTGTATAGTTCTGTCTTGGGCCTGTGTGGTCAGGGGAGGACAGCACAGGGGAGATATGTGGACGAGAAGGTGCCGCAGGAAAGAGCGAGAAGCACAGCAAACAGAAAAGGCAGCAGGAGATAGCCTGGAGCTTGGGGACAGTACCACTGCCACTGAGGACACCCATGAGGCACTAAGGGCTGGAGGAAGATGAAAGGGAGTGCTGGGCCTGATCTCCCTTAAAATTGTGTCCATGTACACGTGACATCATCGTTTGTCACCAGTAACACAAGTCTGAGGATTAATTCACCATCAGTGGCCAATGCAGCAAAGGGCCTGGGTGGCTGGACACCCCCAGGCTGGCTACATAAGAATTCCTCAAACAAGGCCTGCTTCTGACAGCCACACGCAGATGAAAGAGGCACCAGATGCGGAGGAAGGGCCTGCTGCGGGTGACATTTCAAAAACAAGGATACTTTTGATATTTCAGACTTTAAAACAAAGACCTTTCTACAGTGTTTATTTTTGTTATAAATCGAATGTGTACTCACGTTAGAGATGAGAAAAGTATCTGAGGACAGAAAGACCCCCTGCTCTCTCGCTTTCTAGATACGACGTCTTCATAGCTCCTTCCCATTCATCTCCTTCATGCACATTGAAACTCTTTTTGAGGAGATTGGGATCGTCTTATATAAAGAGATTTTTATGATGGGCTTTTTTATTTATTATTATTATACTTTAAGTTCTGAGATACATGTGCAGAATGTGCCGTGGTGGTTTGCTGCACCCTATGATGGCTTTTGTTTAAAGACAGTTTTTGCCCTGTTGCCCAGGCCGGAGAGCAGGGGTGTGATCATAACTCCCTGTAATCTTGAATTCCTGGGCTCAAGCAGTCCTCTCACCTCAGCCTCCCAAGTAGATGGGACTACAGGTGCGCACTGGCTAATTTTTCTAATTTTTTTTTTTAGAGACAGGGTCTCACTATGTTGCCCCAGCTCATCTCAAACTCTTGGGCTCAAGAGATCCTCCTACCTCAGCCTCCCAAAGTGCTGGAATTATAGGTGTGAGCCACCACGTCCATCTGATGGGCTTTTTAAGAGCGAATATTTCTGTTTTTACTAAAAATTCTCTTTTTTTAAGTTTTAATGGCTATATGTCATTCTGCTTTACGGCTCAGCATCCATTTTTAAAATAATCCCCTATTGTGGACCATTTTGGCTTTTTCCAATTTTTGTAATAATTAACACTCCAATGACTACTAAATTCTTTACCTTCATCTCTGGTTGTTCCCTTAGAATAGCTTCCTTGAAGTAGAATTGCTGGGACAGGTACATAAATATGGTAAAGCCTCCTACCTCAAACTATCAGACTGCTGTCCCGGGGGGGACTTCATCCATTTTATGCCCACCATCTCTGCTATCACTTATGTTACCTTGTGTCAAAATTAATATGCTATGAGTTGTTTGATAGGGGTGGGGACAACTTTTATTGCCTTGCCGGTGGGCTTAGGACTGTCTGAGTAAGATTCCATTAAGGGCTAAGCTAAATGAACTCAAAATGCCTACCCTGGCCCCATTAGCAATGGGCCTTCCCACCACCCAGGAGCCAGGGATGGGCAGGAATGGTTTCCATGTGAAGGGTTTTCTCTGCTTCCTGGTCTGCAAACCCTAAGAACCTCCAGAGTGGGTGTGTAATAGGAAAACACAAACCATTTTCTCCACTCTCCACACTTCCAGAGCCCTTCAATTCTGACACCACAGTCAACACAGAACACTTCGGTGACTCAGATGTGTGGGTTTTGTTTTTTTCCCCCACTGACCAGTTCTCCAGCAGGGTGTCTTACAATTCAATTTAATTCTGGCTCGATCTGAAGTCAGCACAGATCCCACAGGTTCAGGACTCAGTCCCACAAGCCTGCCCCTAACTTCAGACTCCAACTGCAAGGAGAGGGTCTTCAGGCTACCCGCGACACTAGTCTAACTTGACTACAAATGGAGGTTCTCACAACCTTTTTCTCGGGTTTGATCCTTTCCTAGAGGGGCTCACAGAACTCAGGAAAACAGTTTGTTTTCTAGGTTACCTGTTTATTACAAAGGATACAACTCAGGAACAGCCAGATGGAAGGGATTCCCAGGGCAAGGTCTGGAGGAAGCTGCTCGGGGCCACCATATCTCCCCAGGGTGCACCACCCTCCCTGCACCCCCCTGTGCTCACCAACCCAGAAGCTGTCAGCACAATGTCCATTGGGGTTTTTAATGGAGGTTTTCATGGTGGCCAGCAGAGTAAATACAAGCTGAGTATCCCTAATCCAAAAGTCTGAAATCCAAATGTTCCAAAATTCTGAACTTCTTGAGTGTCAACATGACACTCAAAGGAAATGCTTATTGGAAAATTTCAGGTTTTGGATTTTCAGATTAGAAATCTTTAACTGGTAAGTATAATACAGACGTTTCAAAATCTGAAGAAAAAAATCTGAAATCTGAAATCTGAAACAGTGCTGGTCCCAAGCATTTTGGATGAGGGATACTCAACCTGTATATATATTTTTTCTTTTTTTTTTTTCCTTTTCCTGAGACGGAGTCTTACTCTGTCACCCAGACTGGAGAGCAGTGGCACAATCTTGGCTGACTGCAACCTCCACCTCCCAGGTTCAAGCAATTCTCCTGCCTCAGCCTCCTGAGTAGCTGAGATTACAGGCACACACCACCACGCCTGGTTAATTTTTGTATTTTAAGTAGAGACAGGGTTTCACTGTGTTAGTCAGACTGGTCTCAAACTCCTGACTTCAGGTGATTCACCCACCTCAGCCTCCCAAAGTGCTGGGATTACAGGTGTGAGCCACCACACCTGGCCTATATTTCTTATTCTACCACAAAACCACCATGGGGCTGCTCAGGTTGGGGAACAAGGAAAAAGCCTAGCTCATGCCAGACAGTCTGATACACCTGGCTCTTCCAGGTCCCAGGTGTCTGCTTGATTTTCAGTGCTAAACCGAGCTTCTGAGTCGGAGGCACCTTCCCTCCCAGTTTCACGCACCAGCAGGGCCCTTTTGAGCACTGAAGCTGTGCTAAGGGGAGGGGCTGGTGGCTCCTCTGTGAGAGCCTGGGCTGCTGAGCAGCTGTGGGCCTTGCAAGGCCCCTCCCTCCCCAGAGCTGTGCCTTCTCCTGCACGCTCATGTCCAGAGGGGGCTGGCAGGACCAGTGGACCAGCAATGTCCAAGAGAAATTTTGAAGGAAATTAAAACCATGGCTTGCAAGCAAAATAGAATGAACATGTAGGGGAAAAACATAATTTCTTTGCCTTTTTAGATTCTTAGTGGAGACACTCTCTTGAAAACGAAAGTCAGATTAACGAAAGAGAAAAGCAGAAGTTTACTAACCTTGCTGTACCCATCACACGGGAGAGGCCTTAGTTCAAAAGGATTTCCCTCTCAAGGCAGTGGCTTTGGGGTCTTGCTTAAATAGCACTAAAGAACTAAAAATCCTATGTAGTGACAAGACAAGAAAGAGAGTATCTTCAGGCTTCCAAAAGGTGGGAAAATGAGGGAAAGTAAACTAATGGGAAGAGTGAAGTCCACTCCTGGGTCCTCTGGCACTGCTGTCTCTGAGCTCTGTTTCTGAGCTGATAAAGATAGGAGGGCAGAGAATATCCCTGTGTTTTAACTTTAACTAAAATGCCCAGTATTTTAGAGAGGAATATTTTGATTTCCTTCAAATGCAAGCTCTTGATTTTATTCAGCTCATCACTTAAGGAGAGAGCCAGAGAGTCAATAATGCTAGTCAAATGGCATTTGATGCACTGGGATTTATGTAGCCCACTGGGAAAGGCACACTGAAATCGATTTTTCAATGTTTGTGACAAAACCGGTTCATGTCCTACAGGGCAATAAATCGGTGGATTATCTTTTCACTAGATGGGAATCATTTGCATCTCTACTGGACAAACATCTACAATATAACATGGAATGCCATAGAATCTGAGTCCTCAATAGTAAATGGCAGTCAAACAACGGCCCATCCTCCTGAAAAGTAGATCATCCTTGGGCAAGCCTGTGAAGCAAAGCTCCTGTATGACTCTGGAAACATTCTTTCATCCCCTTGGCTTTATTTCCAGATTTTGGATTCTTCTGGTCAACAGCACAAGCTTATAACACCCCTGCAAAAGCCACCCAAGTCACACATTCAGCTGTGGCTGCTCCACAGGGACAGGCATCTTTGCACATAAAATATCCCTAGAACTTGGAGGAAAACAGTTGCCATGCCAGTGGGGATTCTTCCCTGAATCTGTCTTAAGTGAGATACTTGTGCTCTCAAAATATTTTTGCTACATTTATGTGTCTTGTATCTCCAACTATGTTGCAAACTTTTTGATGGCAGGGTCCATGTCTTCTAAATCCATAGACATCTAGAAATATAGATCCTTTGAGATTTTTAGTTCAATGCCCCCATTTCTCAGATAGCCTGTGACCCAGCTTTATTAAGGGACCTGCCCAAAGCCAACTGACTAGGAGGTGCAGAACCAGGAGAAACAAAAGACTTTCAGATCCCTGCCCCATGTTCTGCCCAGCCTTGCTTCTCTACCCCCAGCACAGCTGTGAACACAGTATATATGGGTGAGACAGAAGGATAGAAGAATGGATAGACAAATGGTAGGATAGAAGGAAGAAAGAAAAAAGAAAGGAAGGGTGAAAGAAAGGATGGCAGGAAGGATGGATAGATAAATAAATGGGTAGAAAGATAGATAGATGGAAGGACGGATGGATGGATGCATGGATGGATGGATGGATGTAAAGAATTGACAGAAAGATGGAAAAAAGGAAGAGAGGGAGGGAAGGAGAGAGGGAGGGAAAAGTGAGCAGATGGATGGATGTGTGGATGGATGCTGAAAATAGATTATCCTTTTTCTCTTTGATGAAGAAAAGAACTTGTGACCACTGGCACAATTATTCACTTTGCTCGTGGGAGATGAAAAATCAATTCTAGCTTTGCAAAATCTCTTCCCCAGTGTCCCATGCCTGCATTTTTTCTTTTATTTTAAAAGTAATGCATGTTCAATTTTTACTTTTAAAATGAATTTTATTGTGCATATTTGAGGTTTATAACATGATATTACAGGATGATATAGACACACAGAAACATATAGAAACAAGCAGACTGAACAATGGTTACTATGGTGAAACAGATGATCACATCTATCATCTCACATAGTTCCTTTTTTTTTTCTGATAAGACCAGCTAAAATCTACTTATTTACAAAAATCCCTAGTACTGCTTCTGCGTTTTTGTTAGGGACAGTCAGCTCCTCAGGGGTTGGGGGCAATGGTGAGAACTTCATCTTTGGCAGTGGTTCTCTCCCGAGGCTACACGTTGAAATTTCCTGATCCCAGATTTCCTCCTCAGACCAATCCCATCAGAACCCCTAGGAACTGGGCCCTGGATCACAGTTGTTTCCCAGCTCCTTGGGGTAATACTCCCTGACAACTGCAGTGGGAGTGTGAGAAGTCAGCGTGAGGGGCGCGGCCCCAGGTCTTCCTCTTAATAGGAAGAGCCACCTTGCAGGGAGCCACTGAGACTTCACAGCTGGGTTCTACTCTCTGGGGCTCAGAATTAACCCATCAGCTAAAATGCCTTTCAGCAGGCCCCCTTGGGTGAGTGGAGAAAGCCAGACCTCTCCTCTCCAGGGGAGTGAGTAGCAGACTATTCAATGGCCTTTGCTAGAAGTCAGTTTCCCAGATGGTAGCAACTGGCATTGCCTCCTAAGGCCAGAGCAATGGGCATCCTGCTGGCAGCCCCTGAGGAGACCTTCAGTGTTGTGGGGGCAGGCGGTGGGCAGTGCACCTGCTCTACATAGAATATTTCTGAATCGTTATTATTAATTTGTACTTACATCCTTCTAAGAAAAGAATAGCTCCCCATGGAGCTTTAACTTTTATCCAAATTCGCTATAAGAAATGGACATATGACAGCTTCTGAATTTTTTGACACCGCTTTTGAATACACTGTCCATTGTGTTGTTCAGAGTCACTATAAAGGGGCCTTAACAACACATCCCTATTAGAGTTAATGACAGGAGAGTGTTTCTTTCTTTAAATAAATGGAGTATCCTTTCGGCAAACAATTAGAACCATTTTTGCTTTCACATCAAGGCAGAGCTACTTTTACTACTAAATTACATCAATTCCTGCCAGCCCTGGCCCCGCAGAGCATCATTTTCCTCTTGTGCTCTGCGTCTAAACCTCGGCTGATGGCTCATGATCTCTGTCTTTTTGTATCTTTCCTACATATGTATTTAATGGGCATTTATGGGATGCCAGGCCCTTTACATACATTATTTCATCTAAACTGGACCAGAAGAGCGGCCTAGGAAGTGAGAACTCGTGAGGTCAGCACTTTGCCAGTTTTTGCAACCTCCTAGGCCTCCTCTTGCTGAGGCAGCCACCACCTCAGAGAAGGGTGCCTGGGAAACACATAGTCCACACTGACTTTATTCCTTTGGACTATGGTGGCACCAGAGCCCATCTGTAAAGGACACAGCTCTGGAGCTTGACAAACATCAAATATGAATTAGCTACATGTCCTTGAACAAGTCTTTTACCCTCCCTAAACCTCCATTTCTCCCCTGTGAAATGCAGATATGAATATCTACTTTATGAGGACTAATTTGGTTCTCAGAAACAGACACTCACTTGGAGACGAATGTGGGTTACATAGGAAGTTCCTGGGGCCCAAGGCAGAGCTAGTGGGGGCCGTGGGGGAGACAGACGGCCCCCAGACCCAGTGCCTATAACTCTCAACACCTCCCCAAGCCCTTCTCTGTGTTCCAGCTTCCAGAGGCCTCCGTTTACCCTGCTACGATGCTCTGAGGCACACATGATAGGACCTGAGCTCTGAGTCTCTCAGGGCAAATGACCAAAGAAAAGGGTCTGGTTGGCCCCACTTGGGCATACCCGGGTCCAATGGGCTCTGGCCACAAGCTAAGCATGACCTACAAACAGGAACGGTGGATGAGGGCTGGCAGGGGCAGTGCTCAGAGCATCTGAAACATCACTTCAGAGGACTGTCAAATGCATTGATTGAAATCATGTAAAACACCATGCAGGGTGCATGGCACTCAATGGGGTGGGGAGGGGGAATTATCGCTGGACCAGACTTAGTACAGCTCAGGTCTAGTCATGACAGAGGCAGTGAGTGTGTCATCAGCATGCATTATGCCATTTGGTGACATTTTTAAATTAAAAAAATAGTCAACTTTATTTACGTGTAATTTGTGTACAGTAAGCTGCGTTCATTTTAAGTATACAATTTGGGCTGGGCACAGTGGCTCAGGCCAATAATCCCAGCACTCCAGGGCATTGTGTAGGAGGATCCTTAAGGCCACGAGTTCGTTCAAGACCAGCCTGGACAACATTACAAGACCCTATCACTAAAAAAAAAGGTAAACAAAATTTGAAAAAAATAATAATAAAGTATACAGTTTGATGAGCTTTGATATCACTGTCCTGGCAAAGACATAGACTGTGCAGAATCACCCCAGAAAGTTCCCTCCTGACCCACACACTTTACCTCCCTCTCCACCCCCTGGCTCAAGCAACCACCAACCTGCTTTCCGTCACAACAATTTCATTTGAAATGTCTAGAATGTTCTACAAAGGGAACCGCATCAGAAGTATTCCTGTGTCTGGCTTTCACTCAGGCTGATCATTTTGAGATTCACCCCTGTTGCTGTGTGTCAGAAGTTGGTTCCCCTTTCTTCAACAGAGTAGTGTTGCCTGTACCACTGACCCCTCATTGGCCCACCAGTCCTGGCTGGTGAATGCTCTTCACGTAAGGGGTGAGGTCAGCACCAGGCAGATGATCAACACAGCAGCCCTGCTTCATCCGGCTGCCTGACACCCTCTGGGGAAGTCAGACGTGAAGCAGCTCTGTGCCTAGCTCCTTGTTCCATGACAGCCACAGTAAGCGATACTGGAGAAATGCAGGCCCAGAGGGCATGGGCGCCTGAGGGCCAGTAGCCTTGAGGGAGGAACATTTGTGCCAAGGTAGAAAAGAGGTGTTTCTTTGACGAAGATGCCAGAAAAGGCCCTGGTGTGGAGCGGTGCCCTGGTGAAGGCTCCGAGGCCAGGAGGGGATCCTGGGAGGGAGACAGGGGCTGGATGGTTCGGCTTGGTCAGGTGTCTGGAATTATCCCAGCGACAGAAGAGTTTCAAGCAGATGAGTGGTGTGATTAGGTTAGCTGTTTACCAAGGCCCCTGGCCTTGGTCTGAAGAATGGACCTCAGAGCCAATGGTGAATGTGGGAGATGGACGAGGAGCTTTGCCACAATCCAGATCAGAGCCAGGGGTGGCATGAATCACCCTGAGGACCTAAGGCAAAGATCAGGAGACGGCAGGCTCCTGGGGACATAAAATGTACTTCAGTTTAGGGACCTGGGGTCCCATAGCCAGGCATAGGAGAGAGACCTGGGTGCTGGGAGGAAGACTGTCTGGCGGCACTCCCTGAGCTCCACTTGCTGGATGTGGCCTTCCTAGCAAAAGACAGTTGCTCTGTCTGGAAGCCCTGCTCTGAACCCAAATCCCCAGTTGGGTCTGGGGCGGGAGCTGGGTGTCCTGCCCAGCTCTGCAACCCTCCTGAAGATCAGCTCTTGCATCCCAGGCCCCTGGGCACCAGTGTGAGTCTTTCTGGGAATCCACAGGGCTCTGGACTCCTCTGAGGCTCTGGCCTCCCCGTGAAGGTGTCCAAAGAGGCTCCGTGTCCCTAAGGGCTTCCCCTCCACCCAGATCCAAGGCTGCAGGCCCCTTGGAGAAGCTTCAATCAGGTGGCCTCTCTCTTGGTCACAGGAGTCTCTTCCTGTCCTTAACATTTGTTAAAGCCCCTCTGTTCTCTTACTCCTGTTCTGTTGCTCCAGCCAGACTGCTCCCCTCTGCTGACGCTTGCCTGTGGGCCCGTCCTCAAGCTGCACCACTGGGCACTGCCTTTGGGATGTTTTGGCCCCACACCCAGTATCCCACTCACTGCTGGCCTTTCTCTAAGCCCCAGAACCTCTACAGCCTCATGGGGCCAGAAGGGGAGGGAGGACAGGGATCTCTCATTGCCACCTGCTTCACCCTCTGTAGGGTGCCCTGGCACCAGGCTTACCTGAACTGTTGTTGATGGGTCTGCCTCACCCTGATGCCTGGCCCTGCTCTGTCCCACTGCCCTGGGACAGAGGACAAGGACATCCTTTGTAGTCCCCATGTCCCTCTAGCCCGTTGGTCACTGCTTCCTGCCCTCCTGCTCCTCTGCTGAGCCCTACTGTTCTTCCTTCTGGAGGATCCCAGATTCCAGTTCTAACCAAAAGCATACCCCATCAGACAGCCATACCTGTGAAGATAACGAGTCCTGGGTCACATAGAAACTTAACACTCTCCAGCCAGGTGCAGTGGCTCCCTGCTGTGATCCCAGCACTTTGGGAGGCCAAAGCAGGAGGATCACTTGAGGCCAGGAGTTTGAGAGCAGCCTGGGCAATATAGTGAGACCCCCATCTCTACAAAAAATATTGTTTAAAATTAGCTGGTCATGATGATGGGTACCTGTAATCCCAGCACTTTGGGAAGGTCGCTTGAAGGCAAGAGTTTGAGACCAGCCTGGGCAGTAAAGCAAGACTCTACCTCTACAAAAAAAATTTTAAAATGTAGCCAGGCATGCTGGCATGCACCTGTAGTCCCACCTACACCAGAAGCTGAGCTGGGAGTATCACTAGAGCCCAAGAGCTTAATGCTGTGGTGAACTATGATTGTGCCACTGCACTTCAGCCTGGGTGACAGAGCAAGACCTGTCTCAAAAAATAAAAAAGAAAGAAAGAAACTTACTCTGTGTGGTGATGTTGGACGTGAATCAGGTGTTAGGGAAAGACTGTATTCACACTCGGTTTCCTTTTGCCAGTAATTCTACATAATTCCCAGTTTCATGATGTACTTCTTATGGAATTTCACTTGAATGGCTTAAAATTATGTACTTAATTACCTACAGCTCCATTTGCCGTGATCAATGGTTCAGTCCTGCTAAGGTGACACCTGGCAGCAGTCATTTACAGTAAGCTGGCAGGGGCTAAGTGGGAAGGCCAGTTCATTCCATTTGTTCACATCGTCTATCGAAGATGCAAAATGTTTTTTTTTTAATGAAATATCTTAGACAGACCAACACCTCAGGCCAAGGAAGCTACATTTCACCAGGTGCTCAAGAGCTAAACGATCCCCAAGGTCCCTAGAAGCTGTACCATACCACCATTCCACTGCAGCCATAAGTGGCCCTGTGTCCTCTAGGGGCAGTATTTCCAACAAATTGCCTTGATTTTTTTTGTTCTTCTGCCAGCAAGACGCTTATGCCTGTCTACTTAATTATGTTTAATGCTTCTAGCTAAACTGACTTGTTTGAAGGGGAAGAGACTAATTCGCACACCAATGCAAATAGAACGAACATGAATAGATTATGGGAGAAGGAGGGAAGTATTTATTGTTTATCAAAACAGCAATGCAGACTCCTCATTGTGCACATGAAAGTCTACTGATATTTGTACTTTATGTTTATACAGTACCTAACCATGTGCAAGAGCTTCCACATACATGACCTCATCATATCAAGAGTTCTTCAATGATACGACTTTCATTCCTGTGCCAAGTCAAAGAGTTTCAGACAAAGTCAAGAGACCCTCTTGCTTCTACCTGTGGCTCTAAGACAACCTTGATTCAAACCTTGGTAAGTCTTTTCCACTTTGTGCCTCCAAAAACAAATAGTTGAATCTCACTCCCCATTTCCCATGGGGCAAGAGGCTAGTGAAGCATGAGGAATTTACTGGATACTCTTTGGAAGAAGGGAATTAGGACCTAGGTTGTGGCCTCATTACCTTAGATCCCAAGCATGCTAGTAGGCCTGCAGTTGTGTTACTCAGACTTATGGTGGGGTTTCAGAATCTGAGACTTTTAAAATAGGAAAAGAATATTACTTTTCCCTATTACCATTTAGAAGTAACTGAAGCTATTTTCCACTGACTTCACTAAAAATGCCACTACTGGGCTAAAAACAAGCAGAAAGTGTTTGATTCTGATGGAAAATCCTTTCCAAATTAATAGAATGCAACCAAGGGGTGTACCTAGAGTGGTGCATTCCAGGATGATCAAGCTGGGAAGAATCAAGGAGATCACCTTGCCCGATGCTCCCATTTTACAGATGGGCAAACTAAAGCCCAGAAATCGCAGTCTGAGGTCCTCCGGCAAGTGTGACAGAGCCAGGGCTAGAATGCAGACCTCCTGACTCCCAGGCCTGGGTTCTTTCCACCACCTGCGCTTCTCAGATGGGACACCCACTCCCAGGAGGCACCTGGTGGTGAACCCAGCCCATGCAGGGCCATGGGCCACATGTGCTGTAACTTCTGGATCAACAATTCTACTTGATGTGTTTTAGGACTAACACTGTGCAAAACATACAGCAATCTCTCATTGAGTAGAATGAAAAACTCCCATAAATTTTCACGTGACACAAATTTCTACAAATGCATGTTGGCCACATGGTAGGTCACCGTGTGCTGAACCCCCAGGTGCCAGACTGGAACGGAGATGTTTGGTTAGGACAACTTATATGGAGAACTTGGAGAGGCGCTGCACTTTACCATTCAACATCAGAACACCACCACTGCCACTCTAAGAAATGGAAGGTCATGCCTCGTTGAACCTTCCTTTTTGTTCAAGAAGACTAGAAAGGTGGGTGAAAAAAGTCTTTCCTATACCTTTTCTAAAGCATTCCTGCAACAGATTTGATGCTGGTTTGCACTGTCAAAGCAGCATTCAACAGGGCAAAGGGATGCTCTCGAAGGATACTCCTGCCATGGGGCTGCCAGAAAGAAACAGAGCAGTGACCCTACCCAAGCCCACACGTCCTGGTCCCATCCCTGTAGGAGGCCAAAGATGTTCCCCAACAGATTTGCCTTGGTCATTCTGCTGCTCCTGAACCCTGGGACCTGTAACAGAAACCCTTTTCTCCATCTCCACATAGAATTCCTGAGGGGTACTGGGGGTGAAATGAGAGGATGACCAAATAATTTAGCTTACTCTGATAAAACTTTTCAGGGAAACTGGCATGTTCAATGCAAGTCAGCAAGGTTGTATGTTTTAAATTAAGCACCTTGGGACCAGGCAAAGTGGCTCAAACCTGTAATCCCAGCACTTTCAGAGGCCCAGGAGGGCAGATCGCCTGAGGTCAGGGGTTCGAGACCAGCTTGACCAACATGATGAAACCCCATCTCTACTAAAAATACAAAAATGAGCTGGGCATGGTGGTGGACGCCTGTAATCTCAGCTACTCAGCAGGCTGAAGCAGGAGAATTGCTTGAGCCCGTGAGGCAGAGGTTGCAGTGAACCGAGATTACGCCCTTGCACTCCCGCCTGGGTGACAGAGCAAGACTCTGTCTCAAAAAAACAACAACAACAAAAAAAATTAAGCACCTTGGGAAACTCTGCATATGTGTCATCAGCCACCATGAGGGTCCAAAGCTTCCTTTATGTCATATTCATGACGAGTTTGTTCATTTAAACACCACAAGGCTCTGAATAACACAGTGGATAAAAACTGTGTGAGGAAAGAAAATATACCTGTGAGGAGGAGAAAAATAACAGGGCAGAAAGAGGAGGGGTGACACCGGGCCGTTAAGCATTCATTGGCATTTGGTGACTGGCACAGAGAGAATGCACTGTGCAGGGAGCCTGGTGCCCCATGGAAAGTTCCCGAAGCAGAGGCAGCCACAGTGCTTAGAATATGGCTGCTCGGTATTTCCACAGCATCTAGAACATCTTCCCTTAGAAAAGCCTTCCTCTGTCTTCAAGTGGAGGCACACGCTATGCATTTTTTTGTTTGCTTGTTTTTTTTTATTATACTTTAAGTTTTAGGGTACATGTTGTAAATGACAAGCTACGCAGTTTTAACTTCCTCTTGGAGACAAGGGGATTATTATGTTCCCTCTGCCTGGGGCAGCCTTCGCTGCCATAAACACACCTGGCCCCCACCTTCTCAGGTGTTTGCTCAGCAAGGCCTCCGGTCATCAACTTCTTTAAAATCAATCCCCATTCCTGGCCCCTGGCATTCTTCTACTCACTCACCTGCCTTATTTTTCTCTTGAACACTAATCATTGTCTATTACTATATATTTAGTCGTTTATATTTTTAATGTCTTGTCTTCCCCCATTAAGACTCCATGAGAGCAGAGATTGTGGTCTCTTTTGTTTACTGGATTTCCAATGCCTAGAACAGAGCCTGCCACATAGGCTGTATTTGAAAATTTTCATTTCTGATAGTGCCTTTCAGTACAAACACCTAAAGCTGCTGGGGGAGACATCTCAAACATTCTTTTGAACGCCTGACTAAGATGATAGCAACAAGCACAATCCTGAGAGCATCAGAAATGAGGTTTTTTTCTGAGACTCCATGCTGATCCCTGGGGGCTGAGATCAGGTTCAGAAGATGATGGGGTGATACGGGTTTAGAAGTAGCCAGGTGTCTGGTCAGGGTGGGAGATCACGTCAGAAACCCTTCGAGAAAGTCATCATTCCTGTAAGGTAACACATCCCCATGGGTGAACTAGGGCACAGCCCATCCTGCAGAGGGAGGCAGAGGGAATAACTGCCTGTTTTTGCCTTGGTTCTGAAATAGCAATCCCTCAATCAATCAATCAATCACATACCTTCTGAAAATTCCTAGCCACTCACCCACACTCATTCAGATCTGGAGTCTGAATTCCCACTCTATGAATGGCCTCAAAACTTCCAAGACAAATATCTACATAAAGTAATCCCAAGTTGGCGCTTCCCCAGATCTTGGCAAAGGAAAGTGTCAATTCCCAATTCTCTCTGCAAAACACAACTCTAAGAAGTACAAGGGACTTGAGCTCCCAGTCAAAAGTCACTAAATATATGAGGAAGTAAGTCACCATGAGAAAGTCAGCAGAAGCTACAAACCACAAAATAAGTACTGCAAAAACAACAGGTATGGCAATCATCAGATACAGAAAAAAAAAAATCTATTATTACATTTAAAGAAATACCAGGGAATTTCAGAAAAATATCTAAGTGAAGAACAAAAGACTATAAAATCACTAGGTAGATCCTAAAAGTACCAAGCAAAACTTCTAAAAAGGGAAAATATAATTGATATTAGAAACTCAATGAATGACTTAAATAACGTATCAGATTCAAAGAGAAAATTGGTGAACTGGAAAGTAAATATTAAGAAATAGCACACAAAATGAGACAAACAGAGAACATGAAAAAGAGGTATCAACGGAAATAAATCACCAAGAAAGAAGACCCAAAATATATGTTTTTAGAACATCAGAAGAACATAATAGAAACAGCAGAGAAAAGCCACACTTTGTAGAAATAATGACCAACAAATTTCTAGAATTGATGAAAGACACCAATCCTTAGATTCAGCAACACCAAGGAATCTCAAGAACAATAAACAATAAGAAATGAACACTCAGTCTGCAAAACTCTAAACAGTGCCTGTGAAGCAGAATAACATACATCAGTATCAATCCCTGTGAGGGGAACACTGTGTACCTGTTGCTAATCCTAGAGGAACACTCAAAAGTCCTTGCATTTTCTGCTAAGGTTCCTAGATATGGCAGGCTTCCAGGTCTAGCAGGAGGTTTTGCACTAGCCCGGCTGTCCCAGTGAGTCTGGTGAGATGGAACTGTCACACAAGTCAGGCAAAGCAGATTTACAACTCACAGGTGAGCAGCAAAGATAAACAGAAGCCGAGGATCCATGGCAAACCAGTCCCTCGGGTTCAGGAAAGCTGCCCAGGGCAGATGGAGTCTTGTCTACACGTGCCTCACTTCGCATCCCAGCCGAGAGACCCTGAAAGGGCTGTGTTTTGGTTTTTATACCCCAGGGGCAACATGGTTTGCTGAGCCCAAGCTTTGCAGGATATCCTGTTCTAGGAAGATGTCCTGGATGGATAAATCCCAGCCTGTTTCAGATGGTTCCTGCTTATCTCAGGGTGTTGCATTCTCAGTACCTTCTCTCTGAGAATTGCAGGCAAGAGGGGAGAGAGCTGGGTTGGCCAAGAAAAATTTGGAGATTTGCCTCCTGCCATGCCTTCCCTCCACACCAAAGACACTAAAAGCACTAAAAGTCGATGGAAAGAAAAGCAGATTATCAACAAAAAGAATGACAATTTCATAAAATCAACAGCAGTAATGGTATCCAGAAAACAATACAACAATATTTTCAATATCCTAAGGGAAAGTTCTGGTTTTACGAGACTGCATAGGCTAATAACAACTGAGCCAAGATATCACCGACTTTTTACACAAAGATTTATTTTATGTTTGTCCAAAATCTCCTATTAATCAAGTGACTCTCCAGGACATTGTGTACCATACAGTGAGTGACTCATCAATCCAGGCTGCCTACATCTTGAGGCTCCACCATCTCAACACATGGCCTGCAGAATCACCAGAGAAGGAGAAGAGCTAAAGGGTCATGCTGGAGATGCTCACTGTGCCTCAGTCCAGAAATGACACCTGTGGCTCCGGCTCCCAGTCCATCAGCCAGAGTGACTCACAGGGCTCCACCCAGCTGCAAGGGAAGATGTTGCAGGGGAGGGGAAGAGCATGTGAATGTTCAGGAAGCACTGAAACTCCTGCCACTCTTCCAAGGACAAAGGCAAAGTAAAAACATATACTGATAAACCAAAACTGTTAGAATCTGTTACCAACTGATTCTCATGAAAGGAACTTCTTTAATAAGACAGCATTTAGGAATAGGGAAAATGATCCCTCCCACCAAAAGGTCGGAGGTGCAAAAAAAAGATGGTGAACAAAGAAATGGCAGCCATGTGAAAATTAAGTAATTACTGACTGTATCAAACAATAGCAATGATACTCAATTTGTAGGATTAAGAAAAAGCTCAAGCTGGAAACGAAATTCTAGACAAAAGCAGCATAATCCTGGAGGGATATGACTAACAGTACAGTGTTTTATGGTCCTTTTACTGTTCTAGAGGACTCTGTCAAGTTAAATATAGATATTAAAATATCTAGGGTAACCACCAAAATAACAGAACTAAAATGCATAATTTTCAAACTTTTAGAGGGAGGAAAAAGTGAAATGAGAGAAGAATAATTCAATCAGTCCAATAAAAGACAAGAAAGGATGAGGGCAGGGGGAATGGAGAGACAAGATAGGACAGGAGTACAAAATAAAATCATATGAATAAATAAAATTATTTTAAAATTATGGTTTTTTTATTTTTCTTATATAAATGAATAAAATTATATCAATAATTGAAACAAGTGTAAATGGGCCAAACTCTTAAACTAATAAGCAAAGATTATCATTCTTGTTTTCCTAAGTCCAGCAATACACTATCTATAAGAGCTGTATCTAATCACAATGAGTAAACACTTACGTGGTCCTCACCATGTGCCAAGCACTGTTCTGTTCTGACTACGCCGTATTTATCTATTTAATCTTCCCAATAGCCCAGTGAGACAGAGACTGTTTTGATAAGAAAAGTAAATCATAAGGACACTGTGGGAGGCCACGGCAGGCTGATTGCTTGAGCCTAGAAGTTCAAGACCAGCCTAGGCTACATGGCAAAACCCCATCTCTCCAAAAAAATACAAAAATTGGCCAGGCGTGGTGGCATGTGCCTATAGTCCCAGCTACTTGGGAGGCTGAGTTGGCAGAATCGCCTGAGCTTGGGAAGTTGAGGCTGCAGAGAGCCGTGACCATGCAGCTACACTGCAGCCTGGGCAACAGAGTGAGACCCTGTCTCAAAAAATAATAATAATAATAAAAGTTAATCATAAGGAAGTGAAATAATTTGCCTGAGATTAAATAACTAATGAGAGTGTGATTTGAACCCAGGAAGGCCCCTCCTAGAGCCCATACATTTAGCCTTTGTATTACACCACCTCTTAACCCCAGAAAGGGTGAAAACGAAGTAACACTGAAAGATATACCAGGTAATATTAACCAAAAGAAAGCTGACATCATGACATTTATATCAGACTTTAAGGAGAAAAGCATTATCAGCAATAAAGAGATAAAAAAATAAAGATCACAAGAAGATTTAATAATTCCGGGCTGGGCATGGTGGCTCACACCTGTAATCCCAGCACTGTGGGAGGCCAAGGTGGGCGGATCACTTGAGGTCAGGAGTTCAAGACCAGCCTGGCTGAAATGGTGAAACCCCATCTCTACTAAAATTCAGAAATTAGCCAGGCAACATGGCGGGTACCTGTAATCCCAGCTACTCGGGAGGCTTGAGGCAGGAGAATCACTTGAACCTGAGAGGCGGAGACTGCAGTGAGCTGAGATCGTGCCATTGCACTCCAGCCTGGGTGACAGAGTGAGACTCCATCTCAAAAATAATAATAATAATAATAATTCCAAACTTCTATGCCCTTTATAACATAACTTCAGAATACATAGATTATCCAGTCTGTCCCTGGATCTAAGGGAAAGAAAAGAGCATAGAGTAAAAATGGACAAAACTACAAAGAGAGGTTGACAAATACACTATCACAGTGAGATTCTTTAACATACCTCTCTCAGTAGACAGAAAACCAATAAGGCTATAGAACATTTGAACAAGCTTGATCTGTTGGAGACATATGAAACATAGCACCCAACAACTCAAGAATACAAATGCTTTTCCATGTATATATGGAACATTCATAAAAATTAATCACATACTAGAACAATAAAACACAAAGAACAAATTTCAAAGCATTATCCAAACCATGGTTTCTGATCACAATGCAACTACCTTAGAAATCAATAATAATAATACACAGCTAAAAATAGTGGTTTGACCAGAGGGTAGACAATTCAGATGAAGAATGTGCCAAGTTAAACTAAGAAAGTAGCACTAGGAATAGAAAAAAAAAAGAGGATGGATTCTATAGATATGTCTAATATTGGCAAAGAAGGAGTTGAGGAGATTGCCAAGGATTATAGCTCAGACAACTGGAGGTTGGCAGCAGAGCCACTAATCAAGAAGTGGGGAAATCTGCGAAAGAAGAACGTGTGAGGGAAGAAGTGAAAGTGATATCAGCTACTGCAAGGAGTTGAAACAGGATGAGGGCTAGAAAACAGGACATTAGCCCTGCCTTCAGCGAAACTAATTTCATCAGTGCATAAAGCCGTGGGTGCCAAATCCAGACAGGACTTGTTTGAGGAGTGAACCGGAGGCAAGGAATGAGTCAGTAAGTGTGGATCTCCCTTTTAAGAAAGTTAACAAGGAAATAATTTAATAAGGAATTGTATAAGAATTTCTTTCTTTTCTTTTCTTTTCTTTTTTTTTTTTTTTGAGACACAGTCTCACTCTGTGGCCCAGGCTGGAGTGCAGTGGCACAATCTCGGCTCACTGAAACCTCCGCCTCCCAGGCTCAAGCGATTCTCCTGCCTCAGCCTCCCGAGTAGCTGGGGTTACAGGCATGTGCCACCATGCCCGGCTAATTTATGTATGTATATATATATATATTTTTTTTTTAGTAGAGACTGGGTTTCACCATGTTACCCAGGCTGGTCTCAAACTCCTGAGCTCAAGTGATCTGCCCACCTTGGCCTCCCAAAGTGCTGCCCACCTTGGCTCCCAAAGCATAAACCACCACACCCAGCCAGGAATTATATAAGAAATGTAATAAGGAAAGAGGGATATGGGAAGAGTCAGAATGCTAAAGAGGGAAGGATTTATTGTGTTTTCTAATTAATATTTAGAAAATAGATTTGGGGGTACAAGTGCAGCTTTGTTACATAGATATATTGTGTAGTGGTGAAGTCTGGGCTTTCACTGTAACCCTCGCCCAACAGTGTACACTGTACTCATTAGGTCCTTTTTCATCCCTCACCTCCACCACCCTCCCACCCTTCCGAGTCTCCAATGTCTATTATTCCATACTCTATTTCCACATGTACACATTTGGATACACATTTAGCTCCCACTTACAAGTGAGAACATGCAGTATTTGACTCTGTTTCTGAGTTATTTCACTTAAGATGATGGCCTCCAGTTCGATTTATGTTGCTGCAAAAGATATGTTATTCTTTTTTGTGGCTGAGTACTATTCCATGACACACGCAGACACACACACACACACACACACACACACACACTCATCACATTTTCTTTATCCAGTCATCCATTGATGGACACTTAGGTTGATTCCATATTTTTGCTATTGTGATTAATGCTGCAATAAACATATGAGTGCAGGTATCTTTTTGATATAATGATTTCTTTCCCTTTGGGCAGATACCCAGTAGTGGGATTCCTGGATTAAATGGTAGTTCTATTTTTAGTTCTTTGAAACATCTCCATACTATTTTCCATAGGGGTTGTACTGATTTACCTTCCCACCAGTAGTGTACAAGCATTCTCTTTTCTGTTTCCTCACCAGCATCTGTTATTTTTTGACTTTGTCATAATTGCCTCTGTTTGTGTTAAACGGGAAGACTTGAGAGAGTCAAAAGTAAAATAACTATGTACACAGCCACTAGGGGCTTCAGTGATCCCCTCCAACAGCTGCCCTCCATCATGACTGCATGCCACCCTGCTCACCGCCCTTTAATTCTTGTGGGGTTGTGGGGCTGGAGAGATGCTGCTGAGCCTGTTCCTGTCCTCTACCATCCCCAAACCCGATTACCAGCCCCTTCCCCTTCAACAGCTCCCTGCCCTTTCTAAATCCCAATGCTGGAGTCATGCCAACACTGGTGACAACCCCCAAGTTGAATAAAAATTGAGAGAACTGTAGTTCTCAGTTGCAAGGAAAAGAAAAGCCCCAGAGTAAGACGGGGTGTGGTGAGGTACCGGACAGAAGGAAGGTGGGTGCATCGTATCCTTGGGAAGACGCATTGCTCTTTCTGGTCCCAAATGATTGGTCTTTCTAAAAACTACTGCGGGATTGAATGGGTTGTGGTGGGATGGGACAATAAAATTCTCATTTTAACATATGCAGGCAACTTGAAAATGGTATTGTATCGGAGCCAAGCATGGGCTCTCGCTAAAATTAAGGATGCACGTATTAGACTTCTTCTTTTGTAGTAGCAGGATGTTAGGAACAAGCACAATGCCTTGGAGGATAATGAAAGTACAGTGTGCAGAAGAGGAACCTGAAATTGTTATAATTATCATGGTAATTGTTAGTCAACCTCCTAAAGCAGGAACACAATGGAGCCAAATTATGTTACCTTCAAGTGATGATCTGGTTCCTTTCCCATTTCTTTGTTTCATTGTTTCCTCCCCAAGTCCCCTATTCTGGTGTTCCCTCCCGCTCCCTGGCCGACTCAGACCTTCTCCTCCGTGCTCCTTGTGCCCTTGCCTTTGTCAGGGATGGCTCACAAACTATTTTAATAATGTTTTTCTTATTAAAATTTAATATATGTGCATTGTGCACATTTTATAAAATATGTTTATCGTAGAAAAGTAAAAAGAAGAAAATAACAATCATCTATAATCCTGACCACCCAGAGATACTCACTGAGTGTTAACATTTTCATGTATGTAATTCTCTTCTTTCTTATGTGTACTCTCTCTATACCTATACGTATATGTCTATATATAAAACTTTATTAACATAATAGCTGGCACCAGAATTGCTCTTCAGAAGATACCTGACTTTGGTTGGAAAGATGCTTAGATAAATACTTGCCATAGTTAAAAGTTGAGAGAGTCCCAAATTACCCCCACATCTGAGAGCCAATGGGGGAAGATCCTGTAAATATCCCAGGGAAAGGAATTCATTGTTTCCAGAGGGGCGAGGGAGAGGGAAGGGAAAACAGAGAGGGGGACGAGTGGAATGGCACAAAGCTGTGCACTTCATTATGTGACTTCTTCATGCCCCCTCCCCCCACACCCCCGCAATCCTCAATGAAGTTTGCTGAGCTCAGGAAAGCCTGGTGTAAGTGACTTCCATGTTGTGGAAATAAAAGAAGGGGCTGAATCCATATCATAAGCAGTGGTTGAGGCAGCCCTTGAGGAAGATGGAATCGCAGAAGCAAAGGAGATCAGAAAGATGTAAGACTCTGCACCAGCCTGCACCCTAGAAATTAGAGGAAATCTCAAAAAGAGAGTAGGGCCTCATGGGAATTTCATTCAGCATTCAGCAGACAGAAAGGCCAGTTGCCAACTTCGAATTACACACACACGCACATGCTCGCACACGCATACACACATGCACGCAGAGCCAGAAACCTCTCCCTTTTTTTTTTTTTTAAAAAAGGACCATATTACTTATAATTGATATAATTTACAAATCGTGATGATTAGTCTTGCTTCACCTATGCACAAATACCCTGTGATCCAAGTATATACTTCACCTGGTAGTGCCAAACCAGAAAAATGACCATGCAAGTCGCTGAAACCATGCAAAGCCATCATCTCAGTAATCAATGGGAGAAATTATTACTGTCTTACGGCTTTTAAAAACTCCCCTGCTGTCAGTTATAAATAGACAGGGAAATTAAAAGCTAGTAAAACGAATAGTTATTTAGTACACTATAATTTAAACATTAGAAACATTCAAAATTAAAGTGTTTTATTTCTTTGTAAAAAAAATACTAAGAGGTGTTTGAACAGTGGCTGCCTTCTTCTTATCATAAAGCTTACAATACTGAGTGAGCCTCTTTTTTATGCCTTGGCAAAGCATCCTACTCCTTTATAAGTCTGGATCTGTTTCCAATATTTTATCCTCAGTGCTTTCAATGTCATGGAATATCTCGGAGAGTTCCATTAACATTAAATTTTTTGCTGATGCCACTTTCTTGGTTTTTCTATTCTCTGAACTTTTAATATACAATTTATATAGAGTAGTTTCATGCAGACCTTGGTCTCTCCTAACTTTGCTTTCTTGTTGTTATTTTCAAATCATTTAATCATGTTCAATTTCACTTCCAGCAGGTGAAATTCACTTTCTTTGTTGTACTTTCATCTTTGTTGTCCAATTTCTTCTTTTGATTATCTTTTTTTTTTTTTTAAGATGAAGTTTCACTCTTGTCACCCAGGTTGGAGTGCAATGGCGTGATCTCGGCTCACTGCAACCTCTGCCTCCCGGGTTCAAGTGATTCTCCCACCTCAGCCTCCTGAATAGCTAGGATTACAGGTGCCCACCACCACACCCAGCTACTTTTTGTATTTTTAGTAGAGATGGGGTTTCACCACATTGACCAGGCTGGTCTCAAACTCCTGACCTCAGGTGATCCACCTGCCTCGGCCTCCCAAAGTGCTGGGATTACAGGTGTGAGCCACCATGCCCGGCCAATTATCCATTTTTGTAAAATGACACAAGGATTATCACTGGGAGACAAGGAGGTGACAT
Source organism: Homo sapiens (assembly GCF_000001405.40). Taxonomy (NCBI): domain Eukaryota; kingdom Metazoa; phylum Chordata; class Mammalia; order Primates; family Hominidae; genus Homo; species Homo sapiens. Next base: position 229,837,204 of record NC_000001.11, on the reverse strand, counting down.
GATCACACACTTTGCCATCTATGTAAAAACTGGAGTCCTGGATAACAGATGCAACAGACTTTGAAAGAAGTGGCATGGTTGGCCACTGATCATAATATGCATCTGTTATTTACTTAGGAATTAGTTGGAAAGAGCTACAATTATCCACAATTAATATATTGTGGTAACTGAAAGCTGAACGATGTTTCTGAGGGACTGGTATACACAGGAAGACTGCCAGTATATACTTGGATCACTAGTACAGTTTTAACTCAACTGTAAAAACTGAAATTCTTGCATGCAAAACAAGGACTGTCTGTACAATGTATTTTCTATACTTAGGGTATAAGAAATAAAACTTAATTTGGAATTCTTAGTTCAGGTTCTCACTCAAGTCTCTCTTTTCTGGAGTTCGTTTCTATTTTTTCCTCCCTATCCTTGCCATCTTCTCTCTTATTTGAGATCCCCTAGTCTCTTCACCCCCAATTCCCACTTCCCTAAGTTTCTTGTCTTCTTCTTGGCTCTGTTTGGGCCACCTGAATATTAAAAGAAAAGCTTTGGATAAATTAAATTTAACAGAGTTTAATTGAGCCAAGAACGTTTCACATATCAGGCAGCCCCTGAGCCAGAGCAGATTCAGACCCTGGCTTTGCCACGTGGTGGGAGAGGATTTATGGACAGAAAGGAGAAAGCGACGTACAGAAAGCAGAAGTGAGGCACAGAAACAGCCCGATTGGCTGCAGCTCGGTATTTGCCTTATTTGAATACAGTTTGAACAGTTGGCTGCCTGTGATTGGTTGAAGTACAGCTTTTGTGATTGGCTGAGACTCGGCTACTTGTTCCAAGAGTAGGTTACGGTCTCTTTACACATCCAATTGGGTTCACTATGTATGGAGCAACGTTTAGGCTGAACTTTAAATAGGTAAGGAGGCAGCTTTAGGCTAAACTGAATTTAACATGAGAATAATATTAAGGTCTAGAGAATGTTTAGACTGTCGATGGTACTGCCGCTCACTGACAGCCTAAATGGGCTGGGCTTGTCCCCTGAAAGATAAAACAAGGGAAACCAGCTCCCTAAATTAAAGGCATAAATCGTTGTCCAATCCCAAAACCAAGACACCATGGAGTGTTGATAGATTTTTTCCAGGTATCATCGCTGCGATTCTACCTGTAAAAGAACACCTTGAGAAGACGCCATTCATCACTCTGTCTGGGGGTGAGTATAAAGATGGCACCCAGAGGACCATCAAGGAGAGAAAACTCCAGGAGAGCTCATGGAAATAGTAACACAGCAAAGGGAGAAAGAGAGAAAAGTCGAACTCTGAGTTCCTCTCTAGGGGAAAGGAGGAGGTAAGGAGATGGATGGGATTCTTGAGGACCAGAAACTGTGTGTGTGCTGCAAACTCATTTTGTAATCACTGGAGCACCTAGTCTCTTGCATGGAGTGGCTATTCCTCCGGTATTTGTTCCACAGAGAAAAGACCCCTCATTTGACCTTCACCGGTGATGGGGGCCTGGGTTATTCTTATTTCTTCGGAGGAGGGATGCTGCTCTGTTATTTTCTATAAAATGGAGAAAATTGCCTCCAACTGACCTAAGGTAACTAATTAGCAATCTTAAGGGCGCTTGGGGGGGGGGGGAACACAAGTCATTTGATTAATAGAGCACAAACGAAATAGGTGAGGAGAGGCAGCCAAATGCATCTCCCCGAAACCCAGTCAGCCACACAAACTTTCCATATTCACTGGAACAACGGGGCTGGAGGCAGAAGGTGTTTGTTTTGCTCTGATAACAGGCAACCCCAGCATTTGGTGCCTGCTTCAGGGAGCCAGTGGAGCAGAGGCAGAAGCCTGAAGTAGCTGGGAGGAATTCAAGCAGACTTGAAGAGGAAAACAAAAGCTCCTCTGCATAAAATCCCAACAGCAATCTGATTTGGGCTCGTTATAATTCTGTCTTCACCTGCTTCTAATGGTCTCCCTCTTGGGGAAAAAAGAAATCAGAGACAGCTGATGCCATATAATGAATTCTATATGCAAAACAAACAGAGAGAAGGCTTTGTACCATTAACATGAGATACCACCACCCAACGCACTCTTTGCGTTTTGTTTAATAGAGCTACTCTCCAGACCCCTCATTAGCTGCTCTGAACAGGGAGGGAGAGGCCCAGCAAGGTGGTTCCAATAAAGTGATTTTTTTAGTTCCTGAGATCTGGGGCAGCTGGCAGAAAACTGTTTGCAACATAGACACAGCCCCTGAAGTCTTCTTCTGTCTTCTATGAATTCACTCATTTTTTCCTCCAATTAAAATAAAAAGAACAAACGGTCCGATAAAGAATGTTACTCAATTTATAAATTTGTTTATATGGGCTAGGGTGGTGGCTCATCCCTGTAATCTCAACACTTTGGGATGCCAAGGCAGGTGGATCACCTGAGGTCAGGAGTTCGAGATCAGCTTGGCTAACATGGTGAAACCCTGTCTCTACTAAAAATACAAAAAATTAGCTGGGCTTGGTGGCGTGCGCCTGTAGTCCCAGCTACTAAAGAGGCTGAGGCAGGAGAATCACTTGAACTTAGGAGGCAGAGTTCAGTGAGCCGAGATCGCGCCACTGCACTCCAGCCTGGGCAACAACAGTGAAACTCCGTCTCAAAATAAATAAATAAATAAAAATAAATAAATTTCTTTATATGAGAAAAATGCCAAGGAACAGAGATTAAAGCACACTTAAAAGTTTTTTGGTTTTTGTGTTTTGTTTTTGTTTTTTGAGACAAGATCTTGCTGTGTCACTCAGTGCAGTGGCATGATCCCAGCTCACTGCAGCCTCAAACCCCTGGGCTCAAGTGATTCTCCCACCTCAGCCTCCTGAGTAGCTGGGGCTACAGTAGGCACATGCCACAATGGCCAGCTAATTTTTTGTATTTTCGTAGAGATGGGGTTTCACCATGTTTCCCAGGCTGATCTCGAACTTCTGGGTTCAAGTGATCTGCCCGCCTCAGCCTCCCAAAGTGCTGGGATTACAGAGGTGAGCCACTGGGCCTGGCTACACACTTAAAAGTTTAATGGCTACAACTATATTTAAATTAGATGAAATAAAATTGATTAGATTCTAGAAGATGATATATATGAGTAATACATATATTTGGAAACTACAGGAGTATGAAAACATTTAGTGTTCCAATTTCTTTAAGGCTGTGGTTCTCAAAGTGTGGTCTATAGATCACCAGCATGGATGGTGAAACTTAAAAATGCAGAATCCTTGGCTTTACCCTTGGATATACCAAAGCAGAATATGGGGGAAAATCACTCAGGAATCTGCAATTTTTAACAACTCACTCACTAAATTTTGCCATGCTGGTCTAGGGATTATCTGTGAGAGAGGAGCAATTGGTCTGTCTAGGAATACTGTCAGAAAACCTACTCCTTGGCCCTGGACCCGTTCCATTACTGGACTTCTCTGCTTTTAGTAATGGCTTTCTTTACAGGGAGTTATAATGACAGCCTTCGGGTGTTGGATCTGCTTTCCAGATATTTACAGATTAAATGTGCTTCAGTTAAGATAGTGAGCCTCACTGAATGCCTGGCAGGCTGTGGCTTCTCGTGGGGACAGAATAAACATGTGCCAGTGGGACTGGACAATTGTCCTCAAAGATCAAGACTCTGGTGCTCAACTTCGATTCTCAGGAGGCTCTTGTCCTGGTGGTAGGGTGACAAGCAGTCTCAGTCTTCCCAGGAATGAGGCACTTCCCAGGGCATAGGATTTTGGGGTTTAAAATCAGAAAAGTCTTCTTCAGCAAACCAGGGTCTGGGAATCCCATTTGGTGGTAATACTATACCCTAGCAAGAGAGACTAGGAACCCATTGCCTCATTCTATTTATTCTGTGCTGAGAAATATAATTCCTAAAATGTGTTGATTAGTCAACTCAATCTTTCTACCATAGAAAAGTCTGAGAAACCAAATTACCATCAAGGTTGATTTGTTAACAAAACTATTGAGAAAGAAGCATTAGATTAAGAGACACTTTATTTCTGTGAGCAGTTTGCAAACCAGGGAGATGCAGCCTCCAATACAACAAAGGTACACTCAACTGGAACAAAGAAAGGGGTTGTCCTTTATAGAAAAAGTTTTTTCCCAGGCTTCCACTCCAGTATGCTATGCAAATGAGGGTTGCAAACTTGCTTAGTTCTTACTGGTTGATGTTAAGATTGACCAGAGGTTATAGTTTATTGGTTGGGTCCAGGTGTTGGCAGCCATTGATTCAGGCAGCATAAAAAGGGACAGATATGAGTGTCCCAAAGTTATGGAGTGTGTGGTTTTTCCAGGAGTACAGAGTACATGTTTAACCTTTAGTCAGTAAATGGCCGCTTGGGTCCATTTGAATTTAGGCTCAGTTAATCATTCACGATCAATCTTGAAGAACTGGCTTTTTCAAAGTAGACAGTTCCTGCTTTTGATCAAAACCTGTCATCAGACAGCTCTGGTGATTGGTGGTGGGTTATGTCCCATCATGGTGCCAGAGTGGTCGGCTTCCTTCTCTGGGCCCATCTAGTCCCACACTGGGATCCTCATGGCAGGGCAGTGGTTAGTTGAGCAACTAGAGCCATTTACCTACAAGAGGCAAACAGGTACCTGTTAAATTTGAATTAAAGTATCTTGGGTTAAGTTGGTTCATTTCTGGTATTTCTGGATGGAGTGAGTTTAAAGTCTTAAGGTATTGGGTCAGCATGATTCTGGTGGGAGTCTCTTGCAGACATCTCTTAAAACAGGCAAGAATGATTTTAAAGAGGAGCCAAATACTTAGTCCAAGTATGAGGAGGATCATTAAGTAAGCATTGTAGAGGGGAACACAAAAGGGATACTATACCAGACAGAAGTTGTAGTAGATCCAGTCAAGGGCTTTCTGAAGGTGTCCCTTTCAGAGATTTGGCTAGCTTTAGGATCTTGGATATTTCTAATTCAACTGACTGGCAGTATTTACCCAGGTGCAATGAGAAGTGTTAGTGACCACACAAACACCACCCAAGGAGATAGTCTAATGCAATGCAGTTGTCCAGGACCACATAAGCAAGGGAAAGTAGGGACGTCTGTTGTGCCATGATGGCTTGAGTGGTGGGCTGGGCCATTCTCTTAACAGTGTGGGAAAGGTGTCTCAACATATATTTCTCCCAAGCATGGCTCAGTCAAAATCATTACCCTGGAATCCTTCCTAATCTATAGCTCCTCTACTTGGGTTCACACCTCTGGGTAAACTGCATCCTTGGCAGTGTTCACAACTGTCATCTTCATAGTCTGAGGGGTTGTCACCAGGGTACTCATCAATTATTTATAGGACTCTTTTGACCCTGACCCTGGAATACAGACTTTATAGTCTCAGAGTTAGGGAGATAATGGTGATAGGAGAAAAACTCAACCCAGAAACCAAATGCCTGCATTTTCCCAGGACCTGAGACAATGGTAGGCAAAATCTCAGCCAAGATACCTGCAGCCAAAAAGACAGCCTGGAGGGAAACATAATTGTCCCAAGAGGTTATAAAAATCCAAGGAGCCACTTACAGACAAAAAAGAGGGTTCGGTCAAACCAAGAGCTGGTCTTAGGTAAAGACAGAGAGGTATGATTTAACTGGAAGACCTGGGAAGTCAAGGGGGAAACTCCATGGTTTCTTTCATATAATCTTCAGAGGGGGGGTTCCACTAAACATTTTATTTTTACAGGATTCTGTGAGGTATGCAGAACAGAGGGGCAGTGAGTATTCATTCCAAGTGGAGGAAATGACAGGCAGAGAAACAAAGATTTTCATGGGATATCCCAGTGAGGAAAAAGCAGGGAGAACTTCAGGAGCACAGGTGATCATCCAATAGGCTACAGCCAGTGGTTCAAAAAGGGGTGCTGAGCAGTTGGGCCTGTGAGTGAGGTTGGTAACTGAGATGATCAGAGGGTCATTGGTTTCTCCAAATGGTCTGGCTGGGGAAAGGTGGCATAACCAACATTCAGTTAAGTTGCCTGCAGAGGCAAAGGATTGGGATAGTTGTATTAAGGAATCATCTTTCCATCAGTAGGAAGAAATGGCAAGGGTAGTAAAGGAAGGAGAAGGAGAAAGTACAACATTAGGTAAAAGAAGGGTTTATGAGAAGTTCATCAGGCAAGATGTCCCACAGTTTGCAGAAGCTTATGGGCTAAGTCTGGTATCTTGGGAGAAAGTAGACTCCATCAGATGTTGTCTTCTTGTCCTGCCAGCTCTACTTTGATCAACTTAAGTTTGCTATCAGTGACAGGTTGGGAGGTTCACTTAGGAGGAGGATCAGAAGACTTTTTAAAATGATAAATAATAATCCATGAGTCAGTGCTTTGTAATTTAGCAGCACATGAGTCAGTTAAGAGTACCTGATAGAGGCCAGGCATGGTGGCTCACACCAGTAATCCCAGCACGTTGGGAGGCTGAGGTGGGCAGATCACTTGAAGTCAGGAGTCCCAGACCAGGCTGGCCAAAATGCTAAAACCTCATCTTTACTAAAAATACAAAAATTAGCTAGGCATGATGGCAGGCACCTGTAATCCCAGTTACTCGGGAGGCTGAGGCAGGAAAGTCGCTTGAACCTGGGAGATGGAGGTTGCAGTGAGGCGAGATGGCACCACTGCACTCCAGCCTGGGTGGCAGAGCAAGACCCTCAAAAAAAAAAAAAAAGTATCTGATTAAAAAAAAAGCCCAGCCCATTTAAGTCTCAAAAAAAAAAAAAAAAAAAAAGAAAGAAAGAAAAAAAGAGTACCTGGTCCCTTCCAGAAAGGCTGGAGGGAATTCTTAAGCTGATGTCTTTTCCAATACACAAAGTCTCCAGGTCTGAAGTTAAAAGGATGTTCTTCGTCTCCTGGGAGCACACAATTAAAGGAATATTTGACAAAGTTAATACTATGTTGCAGACATTAATGAGCTCCTTGCACTAATGTAGGAGGCCTCCTTTGATGAGTACTGGCTGGTGAAGTATTTCATCTAGGCACATAGGGTGGCTGCTAATAATTTCCAAAGGAGATAATTTATGTTTTTCTGTAGAAGTGGAATGAAAGTTGAGGATGACTAAAAGAAGAGCCTTGGGCCATGGCAGGTTAAAGACTGCACAGATTTTTACCTATTGGATTTTTATTATTCCATTGGCTCGTTCTATTGCTCTGGAGGGCTGGGGATGGTAAGCACAGAAATGTTGATAGACCAAATTTTAGAAACACTTTTAATAATTTGCCCTGTAAAACAAGCTCCTGAGTCACTGTGAAGTTCTCGTGGGACTCCTCAGGTTAGTATAATTTTTTTCTGCTAGGGCCTTAGCTACTGCCATGGCTATGGTCTGATGACAGGGGAAAGCTTCAGGCCAATGTGAAAACATTCAAACCATAGCCAACACATACTGGTACCCTTGTGAGGTAGAAAGTTGAACTGAATCTTGTTGCCATATCTTGAAGGGGCATTTGGTAGTGAAAAGTGGTCCATGGGGGCATGTAATCGTTTTCCAGGATTGTACTGTGGACAGATTTTGCCCAGTTAAGTAGCTGTAATCCCAGATACTCAGGAGGCTGAGGCAGGAGAGTCGCTTGAACCTGGGAGATGGAGGTTGCAGTGAGGCGAGATGGTGCCACGCACTCCAGCCTGGGTGACAGAGCAAGACCCTCAAAAAAAAAAAAAAAAAAAAGAAAAAGAAAAAGAAAAAAAGAGTATCTGATTTTTAAAAAAGCCCAGCCCATTTAGGTCTCGATTAAAAAAAAAAGCCCAGCCCATTTAGGTCTCAAAAAAAAAAAGAGTATCTGCTCCCTTCCAGAAAGGCAAGGTGGGCAATAGTGAGAGAGGGACCCCAACACTATTATTTCCCTCATTAGACCGTTTTTTCCATGTTCCAATGGTTAGGTCATGAATGAAAGTTAAAATATCCTTTTAGAGGCCATTAGGGAGAACAGGGTGGCAATTGGAACCCACCCAGAGGGCTGCAAAAAGTCAAAAGAACAACATTCTTCAAGCAGTTTCCCACTTTTATCCTTCATTGAGATAGCCTGAGATTTAGCCAGCGTTTGGTATAACTGGGGAACTGGAAGTAGGGCAGAAATGGGCAAGCTTCATGTTCTCATCATAAGTGGGAGTTGAACAATGAGAACGCATGGACACAGGAAGGGGAACAACACACACCGGGGCCTGTCGGGGGGTGGGGGACGAGGGGAGGGAGAGCATTAAGACAAATACCTAATGCATGCAGGGCTTAAAACCTACATGATGGGTTAATAGGTGCAGCAAACCACCGTGGCACATGTATACCTAGGTAACAAACCTACACTTCTGTACTTGTATCCTGGAACTTAAAGTAAAATTAAAAAAAAAAGAAAAAGAAAAAGAAATAGGCGAGCTTTTGATTAATAGAATTTATGTTATATTTTGGGACATGGATGACTTGGCAGCGATATCAACCATTTTGTTTCCAAATGTTTCTTTATTTTGGGCAGAGGAATGTCCCTGAACTTTAATAATAGCTAAAGCTCTTGGAGCTTGAATGGCATTGAGGAGTGCCAAGACATGGTCTTTGTTTTTTATTTTCTTTCCAGATGAGGTAAGGAAGCCTCTTTATTTCCAAAGCATGCCAAAATCATGAGCTACTCTCTAAAGGCATGACTACTGTTTACATAAATATTGGCTGTTTTATCTTTAGCTAAAAGACATGCCCTAGTAAAAACATGTAGTTCTGCTTGTTGGACAGATATGGCATCAGGAAAGGGACCAGACTCAATAATCTGGTTAAGAGAGACAACAAGTTTCTAGTTAGGTATTTGCCACTGGGTCCCCTCAGTTATAACCCATCAGTAAACCAGTTATAGTCTGTATTGGGTAAGGGAGCCTCCCAGAGATCTAGCCAAGGGGTGAGAAGTTGATCTGTTCAGGTAGCACAGTCATAGGGAATGTCATCTTTTGGAAGGGGAAATAAGGTGGAAGGATCCAGAAAATTACATCAGGTAAAGTCGGGAGGCTAGCAGGGAGATGTTGAGTGTGATGAGAATTGAGAAGAGCCTTGAGAGAGTAAGGAACATAAACAATGAGAGGAAACCCCATCACTATCTTTCCTGTGGCTTTTACAAGGATAAAAACAGCAGAAGCCATTTTGAGGTGAGAAGGAAGTCCTTGAGGAACATAATCTGTTGAGTATAGCATCCCATGTGTCTATTTTGTCCTCCAAGAGGTTGAGTAAAAACTCCCAGAGCATTCCCTTTGCATTCATGAGTGAACAGATTAAAAGAGAGGTTATAATTAGAGTGTCCTAAGGTTGGGGCCAAGGTAAGTTGAGTTTTTGTATTCTCAAAGGACTCCTGGGCATCAAAAGTCCATTGGATGGAATTGGGAGAGAAACTTTTAAGGAGATTACAGAGAAACTGAGACATTAAGGAAAAATTGAGAAGCCAATTTCAGCAACAGCCTGCAAGTCCCAAGAATCCAGAAAATTGTCTCTTTGGCAAAGGGGAAAGGCCAATATACATTGTAGGCACAAGGGGTCTACCTCTATTGAATTCCTAGGATACCTCCTAACCTCTAAGAGGGGCTTAGGAAATATCCCGTGAATTTGACAGAGGTCTGACAAAATTAGTTTTCTTTGGAGACTTTGTGTCCCTTAGAGGATAGATTGTGTAGTAAGTAGGTAGAGGCTGCCAAGGAGGCAAACCTCTTAGGAAGGGGAACATAAGAACAAATCATCAACATATTGAAAAAAAGAATGAATCATTGACATATTGGAGTAAAGTGGACCCTCACCAAAAAGAAATGGTAGCTAAATTGGCCCTATGGATCTGGGAGAAGTAGGTTGGGCTTGCTGCATACCCTTGGAGAAGGACAACCAAGGTGTATTGTTGGCCTTCTCAAGTTAAGGCAAAAAGGTATTGGCTGTCAGGAGCTATAGGTATACTGGAAAGGACACTACAAAGATTGATAGCTGGAAATTTCAGGGGAAGCATTAGAAAATAGGGCATAGGGATTGAGAACCACGGGTGTTGGGGATTGACTGTGTTACTGATAGCCCAGAGATCCTGAACACATTGCCATCCTGTACTGTTGGGCTTGTGGATGAGTAGGATGGGGGTATTGCAAGGACTGGTGCAGGGACAAATTTTTTTTTTGGTATAAAATCATCCATTATGGGTTGTCTGCCAGCCAGGGCCTCAGGATCTAGGGGATATCGTTTGACACTGGAGAGGGGTTTATTATGGTTAATGTGGATTTTAATTGGAGGTGCTGAATGGCTGTGACCAACATCAGTGTTGGATTGTGCCAAAGGCTATCAGGTAGCTCTTGGAAGGCAAGATGGGTAATGGTGAGGCTAACTGAATAGATGAGTATTTGGGTAAGAGCTGCTTCTGTGGCAAAAATCTCCTGGTGAATATAGTTTAAGCATTATTTCCTCCTTTTGGGAGAATAAAATATGGGCCTGGTAGGCTTCTGAGAAATCCCTTTCCAGGAGGTGTATGGGAGCTGATGGGACAAGCAAAAAGCAATGACTGATAGTGAGAGATCCTAGTTGAAATGGAAAATTGGTAGAGATTTAGGATCTGTCATAGGCTGGTTGGCTACCTTGACCATTTGGATGAATTCAGAACTCTGGGGAGAGGTCATTGAAAGCATGTCGGGGTTAAGGACAAATAGAGTAGAACAGAGTAGCCCCAGTGTCAACCAGAACTCTGACTACTTTATCATCAATTTTAATATCTAGTCCTTCTTGCTGGTTAGTTTTAAGTATGGGAAATATCCCCTGAATGTTCCCAAAGCAGGCCCAAGTAGCTTTATCGGCATTTATCTTTAGCCATTATTTACATCTGGGGTAATCCTTCTTAAAATGTTTAGTGCGTTTGTAGAAAAAGCAGGGTTTTTTAATTTTAATTTTGAGGAGAGGACATTTTGGAGGAATCCCTAATTGTTGTAGCTGAAGGGCCATTAACTTGGTAGTCTTTTCTTGACAATCTAAGGCTCAAGTGGCTGTAGATTCTTTGTCCTTTTCTAAAGTTTTGGATACTTGATTGGCGGAACAGGCTATTTCATGGGGTTGTTTTGCACCTCAATTAAAGTCATGCTGTTTTACTAGGGTATTGAGGACTTCAGAAAGATTGGCCACAAAAAAATGGAATTAAATGAATTGAGCATTTCATTATTTAAGTCTGTGATCTCTAAATTTTGTTGGAAAGTTTGTTCAAATTTAACAAATAATCAAAGACAGGTTTGTCCTTTTTCTATGTACAGTGCTATAAGGCTTTCCAGTTTACTTGGTGGGAAAAAAATTAGGAGAATGGCTTTTAGTAATCTGGCAGGCTGTTTCTGTGCCTTTTAAAATCCTTGAACACAAGCCAGTTTAAAGTCCTCTAGGGGGCTATCCCATTCAGCAGCTAGCACCCATTCTCTACCCAAAACATTTCCCGCAAGTACACGGATGAGTTGATAAAATCCAGGTTTCCAACACATGAGTTGGAAAATCCAGGTTAATAAGTTCTGATGATTAGACTAAAATGTTTGAATTCAAAAGAGTTGGTTTTAGGATTAGGGAAGTCTCTTAGCAGGGCCAGAAATTCTGACTTAGCCCAATTGGTGTATGCATGCATTTTGTTGGTTTCCATTTCCCATTGTTTGGACCTTAAAGGAGGCTATCAAAGAAGGGCTGGAAAAGTCAGCTGTATTGGAGGAAGTGGGAATATCAAGGGAGGAGAAAAAGGGGAGTTCAGAAAGAGTACAAGAAGAAAGGAGGAGTGAAGAACAAAGTGGAGGTGGTGGAAAGTGTGGAAGGCAGGCAGGGTGGCAGGTAAGAGGATGCTAGTGGAAGAAGTGTCTTCCAGAGGTGTTTCAATGGCTTTGGTTTTGATCTCATAGGCACAAGGGTAAGAGGAAAAAGAATCTTACAGTGTGTTGTAGCAAGTTTAGTTTCAGTTTTGAGTACACTAGTCTCTTTTTCTAATTTATTAATTTTATTTAATTATTAATTTTATTTAATTTCTATTTATTAATCTCTAATTTATTAAATTTATTCTAACTTTTCTAATTTATTAAATGGATCTTAATTTGGAATTGTCTTCTCTAAGAGAGGCAATAGTAGCCTCTCGGTTTCATGTAGAACTTTCAAAGTACCAATTAAAGAAAGCCTCGTGTTGTCTCTGGGAGGTTATGTGTTTTCTTTGTTCCAATTATGTGTGCAGATAGATACATTTCAAAATTTAGAAGGAGCCCCACTTTGGCCAGCAAAGTTTAAGACTATCCTGGGTGATTTTTGTCCAGAGGCTCAACCAATTTGGTTCAACTTTCTGGACCATAATTTTTGCTTATGAAACCAGCTGGAGTGCCAAAGGTGGCTGATCATCAGAGGAAGACAGAACATGAGTTACTCATTGCACATACCTATTGAAGGCATCTCTTCTGGTGCAATTTAAGTGTGAGTGTCCTCACAAAACATTATGGATTGGGTCTATAAACCAAATAAAAGGGTTCCCTCCCTAAAGTGAGATAAAGTCCCCAAGACCTCAACCAGAAGGCATGGGAGGTCTGGATCCAAGAGGACTTACCTGAGATCTCCTGGTGCCACCAGGAAGACAACTGAGTTCAAGGGGCTCTTACAGGTACCAATGCATGGGTTCAGAATGGCATCGATAGGAGGATCAAGGATTGCTTCAGTTCCCTCTTCTGACACCAAGAAATGTTAACAAAACTACTGAGAAAGAAATATTAGGTTGAGAAAGACTTTATTTCCATGAACAGCTTGCAAATTGGGGAGATGTAACCTATAACAAAACAAAGGTACACTCTGTCAGAACAAAGAGAGGGGTTGTCCTTTATTAAAAAAAAAAAAAGTTTCTTCCCAGGTTCCCACTCCAGTCTTCTATGCAAATGAAGAATGCAAGCTTGCCTAATTCTCATTGGTTGATGTTAAAATCATCACTAGATAGCCAGGCACATTGGCATATGCCTGTAGTTCCAGCTACTTTGGCGACTGAGGCAAGAGAATTGCTTGAGTCCAGGAGTTCAAATCCAGCCTGCATAATGTAGTGAAATCCTGTCTCAATTTGTTTAAATAAATAAATAAGATTGGCCATAGGTCACAGTCTATTGGTTAGGTCCAAGTGCTGGCAGTCATTGATTCAGGCAGCATAAACAGTAAGACAGATATGAGAGTCTCAAAGTTATGTGAGCAGGTGTTTTTTCCAGAACACGAAGTATGTGTGTGACCTCTAGACAGTGAATGGCACCTTGACCTCATTTTGAATTTAGGCCCAGTTAGCCAGTCATGATCCTTCTTGAAGGATTGGCTCTTTCAGGGTTCACAGGTTGGAAAGAGTAGAATCAGAAGAAAGCAGAGCAGGCAGGCTGATTGCAAGTGAGAAGCTAAGTGGCCTGATGCACCCTGTGTAGCTCCGACAACAACCAGTTCTCCAACACCAACTGGCTGCCCTACATTTCAGTTCAGTTCTGGCACTAACTCCCTGGAGTTAGTGCAGACCCCACAGGTGAAGGTCTCAGTCCCACCAAGCTTTCACTTTTTATGCCTATAGAAAATCCCATGAACCACCCACACTTCTGCCCAATGGGTTATAAAATTGGAAGTTCCTACAACCCCACATCACATTTGATAATTTGTTAGAATGAACGCTGAACTCAGGATTTTGTTTAAAAGAATATGTCTCAGAAACAGCCAAATGGAAGAGATGCACAAGGCAGGTATGGTGGATGAGGGTAAGGGTGCAGAGTTTCCATACCCTCTCCTTGTGGAATCTGGGCATACACCACCTCCTAGCACATCTATGTGTTCACCAACACAGAGCTCTCTTAGCCTCATTGTTTCACTGTTTCTATCAAAATTTTATTACATCAATTAAATCACAGGCCACAGGACTGAACGTAACCCATCACCTCCTCCCAGGAGGTCAGGGAGTGGAGCTGAAAGTTCCCACCCTCAAATCACATGATGAGTTCCCCTGGCCACCTGTCCTCACCCTGAAGCTGTCAAGAAGCCCACCAAGAGTCACCTTATTAGCATAAACTCAGGCATGGTCAAAGGGACTCCTTATGAGTAATAAAAGATACTCCTATCATTAGGGAAATTCTAAGGGTTTGTGTCAAGAACTATGGACAAAGACCAAACATATTTTTTATTATACTACACACCTGCAACACTATGGGGAGAGATCTGCTAAGGTCATCCTCTGCTAACATAGCACTGAAAAAGCATTCACATTTCTTGCTCTTTGACTCTTCTCTTATTCGGTTACCATATTGCACATCCTAATCTTTATGAGATTTAGTAAATCTCCACAATGGAAGCTTGGAAACAAGGCTAATGTTGCACATCTCCGAAGAGCCTATAGCATGCAATAAACACAAAGACTACACCCTGTGGCACACGGAGACCTTCCAAATGGGAGACACCTTAGCCTCAGCAACAACACTCTTAGAATAGGGTAATTTTCTGCGGCTGGATGATGCCCTTCATATCCCCCTTCCTCTCAAATCCTAGGAGTGTATGCTGTTTAGAGCCAGCATCTCCCTAACCCCATGCTGACTTCCTGAAGACAAAAATTTTCCATATTGCAACATTATTTATAACTGAAAATTGGAAAACAAGCACAAGGTTAAAGAAGCAATGGTGAAATACCAAATAAAATATTTTTCAGCCACTCAGTTTCACTTTTAATGACATGGGAAAGTGTTCATAATACACTAAGAGGTCATATGTGTACAAAAAAAGTTGCAAAGAAATGCATTAGGATGTTAACAGCTGTAATCTCTGGGGCAAAGGAGTAAGAGTTGATTCTTGTTTTCTACTTTATGCTCTACCTTTTTCCTACAATAATCATTCAACAGTTTTTATAGCCAGAACAAAATGTAACATTATTTTCTTATGAAAAGCCAATACAAATAGAAATGTTTCTTATTTGTTCCTTGCATAGGCCTGCCGACATGATTTTATCTCTAGTGTATGAGCTTCTGGCTTCTTTCCTGAGCCCCTATCTCCGCTGTCTCAAGTGAATGCCCATTTCTGAGTCATGCTCCACCTACAGAACTGCCTCCAACCTCAGAGGGAGCATGACATTGTACTGTACTCATTCCCATCCATCCCCAACCACATCCATACTACCAATTGGCAAAACTTCCTCAGATTCTATTTCCACGAAATTCTGCCACACCAAGGAACACCGGAGGATGTTAAACATTTAGGGAGTTAAATAGGTTGGTCAATAGAAATTCATTGCATTTTCATCATAGATCCAGAGTACTTATATGACTAGACCATCAAATGTCATCAGAAGGCAGCCCACCCACTGATAAGTAACATCTTGGTAGGATGAAAAGCAATAAAAAAAAAACATTTCCAAGAAGGCCTTATTTTCACAAGCAATTTTCCTTCTTAATCAATTCAAGAGCATGTTCGACAAGCACTTACTGAACATCTATCATGTGCCAGGCCCTGGGGGTGGAAAGAGATAATTCCATTCAATATAATGATATACATAGTAAGCACCAAATAAATATGCATTGAATAAATACAAGAAGTAAAAAAATAAATTTACTGAAACCCATCTAAATATCCAGAGGGGGAAAAAGACTAAATCTTGCGCCTCCTCATTATCTGATAACCTAAACCTTACACAAAATATTCAATGAATGGGATCCCATGGCTCCTGCTGCTGTAGTCTCATGACTCCACTCTGGCTCTCTGGCCAGGCCCACTTCTGTTTGGGGAATTTTTCTTTCCAGGCTTCCCTCTTCTAGCTAACTCTTACCCATGCACCAAATTTCAGAGGAAGACCCAATGCTTCTGAATCAAAGTGACTTCTCAGGGTCCTCATCAAGATCATACATCTTGAGACAGCCTTTTAAATATCTGATGACAGTATGTTCTCCTGAGCCTTCATTGCTCCAAGTCAGTGGTTCTCAGATGTAGGTTGGGTGGGTCCTTTGCCCATGCAGAGGACATTCAGTAATGTAGGAGATATTTGGGGCTGTCACAACTGTGGGAGAGTGTGCTGCTGGCATCGAGTGGTTAGAGCCCAGGGGTGTTACTAAACATCCTAAAATGCACAGGACAGGGCTTTCACTGACAAAAAACAACCCAGCCCCAAATGTCAACATGCCAGTTTCGAGAGACCCTGTTCTAGGTAAAACATCCCCAGATGCTTTACAGTTACATGGATGACATTGTTTGGTTCTCCCTTGCCATAGCCTGTGAATTCACTCTACTTACTTAAAATTTTCTTAAAATAAGAAGCCCAGAGCTGATATTGTCCCAGGGACAATGTAACAAGTATTGTGCTTAAGGCCAATGGCTTGGGCACTAGAGTCAGGCCCAAGTTCATCCTGGGCTCTGTCCATCAGTAGTTGTGGGACCCTTGGGCCAGACACTTCATCTTTCCAAGCCTCAGTTTTCTTATCTTTAAAATAGTTATACACAGTGATAAAAGTATAAATAATACTCACATCTTTGAAGGTGTTGGGAAGATTAATGAAACAATCGATGTAATACACTTCATCCAAGTGCATGCTCATTGCAAGAGCTCAGTACATGTTAGCCTGTAATAATAATGCTATAATTTTCTTTAAGATTTTAAAATTTTCTTTTAGGGGTTAGTTGCTTCTAAGCCAGCTATCTCGATGAGAGTTTGAAGATCTACATTGAAATCTTTTACCTAAGAAACTTAGTCCTTACCCATAAACCCAGGAGAAGAGGGGGAGCACGCATCAGAGCTAGTAAATATAGTAAG